>NC_000001.11:50008380-50159895 GCF_000001405.40 Homo sapiens
AACGTATGGAAATTAAACACTGCTCCTAAATGACCAGTGAGTCAATAAAGAAATTAAGAAAGAAATTGAACATTTTCTTAAAACAAATGATAACAAAAACATAACATACCAAAACCTGTGGGATATGGCACTAGCAGTACTAAGAGGAGAGTTTATTGCCGTAAGAAACTACATCAAAAAAGTAGAAAAAGTTAACAACCTAATGATGCATCTTAAATAACTAGAAAATCAAGGGCAAGACAAACCCAAAATTAATAGAAAAAAATAATAATAAAGATTAAAGAAGAAATATATGAAATTGAACTGAAGTAATATAAAAGATTAACAAAACAAAAAACTTGGCTTTTTGAAAAGACAAACAAAACTGACAAACTTTAGCCAGACTCAGAAGAAAAGACAAGTCTCAAATAAATAAAATCAGAAATGAAAAAAGAAGACACTAAAATTGATGTGGCAGATATTCAAAGGATCATTAGAGGCCATCATGACCAACCATATGCCAATCAAATGAAAAACCTAGCAGAAATGCATAAATTCCTAGACACATACAACCTACCAAGATTGAACCATAAAAAAATCCAAAACCAAAACAGACCAATAACAAGTAATGAGGTAGAAGCCATAATAAAAAGTCCCCAGCAAAGAAAAGCCCAAGACCTGATGGCCTCACTGCTGAATGTTATCAAACATTTAAAGAACTAACACCAATCCTACTATTTTGAAAAACAGAGGAGAAGGGAATACTTCTAAACTAATTCTATGAGGCCAGTATTACCCTGATACCTAAACCACACAAAGACACATCTAGGGAAAAACAAACAAACAAACAAAAACACTACAGGCCAATATCCCTGATTAACAGAAATTGATGCAAAAATCCTCAACAAAATACTGGCAAACTAAATTTAACAACACATTAAAAAGTTCATTCATCATGACCAAGTGGAATTTATCCCAGCAATGCAAGGATGGTTCAACATATGTAAATCAATCAATATGATACATCATATCAACAGAATAAAGGACAAAAACCATATAATCGTTTCAATTGATGCCAAAAAGAATTTGATAAAATTCAACATCCTTTCATGATAAAAAAAAAAAACTCAAAAAACTGGATATAGAGGGAATATATCTCAACACAATAAAAAACCTAAAGACAGACCACAGGTAGTATCATGCTGAATAGGGAAAAACTGAAGGCCTGTCCTCTGAAATCTGGAACACAAGGATGCTCACTTTCACCACTGTTATTCAACATAGTAATGAAAGTCCTACCCAGAGCAATCAGACATGAAAAAAAAAAAAGGGCATCCAAATTGTAAAGGAAGAAGTCGAATTATTATTGTTTGTAGATGATCTTGTATTTGAAAAAAATCTAAAGATTCCATCAAAAATCTATTAGAACTGATAAACAAAGTTGCAGGGTACAAAATCCACATACAAATATCAGTAGCATTTCTATATGCCAAAAATGAACAATCTAAAAAAGAAATCAAAAAATTAATTCCATTTACAATAGTCACAAATGAAATTAAATACCAAAAAATTAACTTAACCAAAGAAGTGAAAGCTCTCTACAGTGAAAACTATAAAATATTGATCAAAGAAATTAAAGAGGACGTCAAAAAATAAAAAGATATTCGGCCAGGCGCAGTGGCTCATGCCTGTAATCCCTGCACTTTGGGAGGTGGAGGTGGGTGGATCACGAGGTCAGGAGATTGAGACCACCCTGGCTAACAAGATGAAACCGTGTCTCTACTAAAAATACAAAAAATTAGCCGGATGTGGTGGTACATGCCTGTAGTCCCAGCTACTCGGGAGGCTGAGGCAGGAGAATCACTTGAACCTGGGAGGCAGAGGTTGCAGTGAGCCAAAATCATGCCACTGCACTCCAGCCTGGGCAATAGAGCAAGACTCCATCTCAAAAAAAAAAAAATTCAACATTCATGGATTGGAAGAATCAATATTGTTAAAATGTTCATACTATCCAAAGCAATCTACAGATTCATGCAATCTCTATCAAAATATCAATGAGATTCTTCACAGAAATAGAAAAAATAATCCCAAAATTTGTAAGGAACCACAAACACACACACACACACACACACACACAACAGAGCCAAAGCTATCCTAAAGCAAAAAAACAAAACAAAACTGGAGGATCACATTACCTGATTCAAATTATATGATAGAGCTATAGTAACCAAAATAGCATGGTACTGGCATAAAAACAGACACATAGACCAATGGGACAGAATAGAGAACCCAGAAACAAATCCACACACATACAATGAAATCATTTTCAACAAAGGTGCCAAGAACATACACTGGGGAAAGGACAGTCTCTTCAGTAAATGGTGCTAGGAAAACTGAATATTTATATGCAGAAAAATAAAACTAGACCTCTATCTCTTGCCACATACAACAATCAAATCAAAATAGATTCAAGACTTAAATCTAAGAAATCAAACTATAAAACTACTACAAGAAAACATTGGGGATATTCTCCAGGACATTGGACTGGGCAAAGATTCCTGGAGCAGTATCTCACAAGCTCAGCAACCAAAGCAAAAATGGACAAATGGGATCACATCAAGTTAAAAAGCATCTGCAAAGCAAAGGATACAATCAACAAATTTAAGAGACATCTCACAGAAAGGGAGAAAATATTTACAAACTACCCATAACACAGAGAAGGAATTCAGAATCCTATCAGATAAATTTAACAAAAAGATTTGTTAAATTTGTTAATTTGTTAAAGAGATTAATAACAAGAATATATAAGGAGCTCAAACAACTCTATAGGAAAAAAGTCAGTAATCTGATCAAAAATGGGCAAAATATTTGAATAGATATTTTTTAAAAGAAGAAATCAAAATGGCAAACAGGCATACGAAAAGGTGTTTGACATCATTGATCATCAGAGAAGTGCAAATCAAAACTACAATGATATATCATCTCACCAAGTTAAAATGTCTTATGTCAAAGACAGGCAATAACAAATTCTGGAGAGGATATAGAGAAAAGGGAACCCTCGTATACTGCTGGTGGGAATGTAAATTAGTACAACCACTGTTGAGAAGCGTTTGGAGGTTCCTCAAGAAACTAAAAATTGAGCTACCTATGATCCAGCAATCTCACTGCCGGGTATATAACCAAAAGAAAGGAAATCAGTATATTGAGGAAATATCTGCACTCCAATGTTTGTTGCAGGATTGTTTACAATAGCTAAGATTTGGAAACAACCAAAGTGTCCAACAACAGATGAATGGATAAAGAAAATGTGGTACATACACACAATGGAGTCCTATTCAGCTAAAAAAGAATGAGATCCTGTCATTTGCAACAATGTGGATGGAACTGGAGATCATTATGCTAAGTGAAATAAACCAGGCACAGAAAGACATATGTCATCACATGTTCTCACTTATATGTGGGATCTAGAGATCAAAATAATTGAACTCATGGACACAGAGAGTAGAAGAATGTTTACCGGCCGGGCGCGATGGCTCACGCCTGTAATCCCAGCACTTTGGGAGGCCGAGGCGGGTGGATCATGAGGTCAGGAGATCGAGACCATCCTGGCTAACAAGGTGAAACCCCGTCTCTACTAAAAATACAAAAAATTAGCCGGGCGCGGTGGCGGGCGCCTGTAGTCCCAGCTACTCGGGAGGCTGAGGCAGGAGAATGGCGTGAACCTGGGAAGCGGAGCTTGCAGTGAGCGGAGATTGCGCCACTGCAGTCCGCAATCCGGCCTGGGCGACAGAGCGAGACTCCGTCTCAAAAAAAAAAAAAAAAAAAAAGAATGTTTACCAGAGGCTGAGAAGGTTAGTGGGAGGCTGGGGATATGGATTGAAAAAAAAATAGAATGAATAAGACCTACCACAAGACCTGCTATCGTGATAGCCCAATAGGGTGACTATAGTCAATAATAACTTAATTATACATTTTAAAATAATTTAGAGTGTAATTAGATTCTAACTCAAAGGATAAATGCTTGAGAGGATGGATAACCCATTCTCCTTGATGTGCTTGTTTCACATTGCATGCGTATATCAAAACATCACATGTACCCTAATAAATATATACACCTACTACATATCCAGTTTTTTTAATTTTTAATAAATAAATAAGAAAAAATTTTAAATTAGCAATATAAGAACATTTAGCTTGCTAGGACAGCAACAAAAATAATTTATCTATCCTCCTGATAATATTTAATCCTGTTTTTGAAAACCAGTTAAAACTCTTAAGCTTTCAAAATATGTATATGTTCAGAGAATACCTCAGTAGGATAAGGATGCTTTTGTCACCCTAAAAGCAAGAAGCTCATTCCCAGAGCTTTTTAAGTGTATAGTGTGTTTTCAAGGGTGAGTTGGCAACTTTTGATAGCCTAAATGTGAAACTGCATTAAAATTAGATATCTGAAGAAAATTATACTTTTTCAGGATCACATGTAAAATTTTCTGAGAACAACTTTTTTGCCAACTTGAAACCACGTTGATCGTAAGGATGTACAAATAATAAAAGGAAAAAAACATGCCCTGGTTTGTTTCCACCAAAAAGTAATGTGACCCTGGAATCATAATTTGTTTCAGTAGTTAGTTACAACACCCATTGTCTCAGAATATAACCACTTCCAATTTCCATTAAAAATATATACAGTACTTCAGTTGTCTATTAAGTTCCTTAATTGAAGAAACTCTATCGAATTAAAGATACACTGATCTAGTCAAAATGTAAAATCTTCCAGAAATAGAAAAGCTCTAATCAGTACAACACAACACGAAATTAGTCCCAAACTAGCAAATGTGAATTTAAAGGAAGAAATAGTCCTCTGTCTTAGGGCTTTATTAAATCAGGTTATAGGAATTAATAAAAAGAGTAAATAAGATCATGAGTCCTTCCTCAAAATATAGGGGAAAGTTTCTCTCGTGAAGCTGAGTCCTAGACCATGTGTAGTTTCTATTAAATTGAAGCAAAAGAATCAGTCTCATTAGAGAAAAGAATAAAAAATTACCCACCACTTTTATTAAATCATTTGGTTTTCATCCAGCTGTATAATATGTGTGATGCAAATTAAAGACCCCACAATTTGATAAACCTAAACTGAGATAAAAGCTTTCTAGTCTTTTATAGGAAAGTTTAAAACATTTACAATTGTTAGTAAGCTGCAAAAAGTTTACTAGCATTTCCCATAATCACTGCTATTCTTGTGATGGTACATCATTGGTAATGACACTACTAAGATAAGAAGTTACAGTATTACAGCTTAGGAACATATTTCCAATTTTTATTAAAATTATTAAGTTCTTCCTAATATGTTTATGACACAGGGTCTGATGTTCCATCCAAATACATTTATAAAATTGTTTTCTTAAAGCACCTGGGGTAGTTACATGACTGGAGAAGATCTTTAAACATGTATAAAGCTGTATGTCTAATAGAATGAAAGGCACCAATTAATCCAATTACTTAGTGAAGACAGTTTCTCCTATACTATATGCACTACATACACCTCACAACCCTATTTGATAAAGGACTAGTATCTCCATTTAAACATGAAAACTGGGTTAGAGAAACACTATTACACATTAATTGGTAGAGTTGAATGTTTTAAATCTTATCTTTGTAATTTCAAAATCCATGCCCTATTTATTATGTCACACTGTCAACAGAGACAGATACATCCAAATGAGGTTTTAAAGGCCAGGTGTGGTGGCTCACACATGTAATCCCAACACTTTGGGAGGCTGAGGCAGGCAGATCACGAGGTCAAGAGATCGAGACCATCATGGCCAACACGGTGAAACCCTGTCACTACTAAAAATACAAAAATTAGCTGGGCGTGGTGGCATGCACCTGTAGTCCCAGCTACTTGGGAGGCTGAGGTAGGAGAATCACTTGAACCCAGGAGGTGGAGGCTGCAGTGAGCCAAGATCACACTACTGCACTCCAGCCTGGCCAAGTGGGACTTTGTCTCGAAAAAAAAAAAAGATAAAGAAAAAGATAAACAAAACAATTTAGGGGCCAGCATTTGCTTTGGACCTGCTCTAATACAAATGTTATTAGATCAACCCTTTTCACCAAAGTATTCCTACTTTCAAGATCAGTTTCCTAAATAGACCTCATAACTAATGAACAGAGGATTTCTTTTTTTTTTTTTTTTTTTTTTGGAGAGAGTCTTGCTCTGTGCAATGGTATAGTCTCAGCTCACTGCAACCTCCACCTCCCAGGCTCAAGCAATTCTCCTGCCTCAACCTCCTGAGTAGCTGGGACTACAGGCACAAGCCAACACGCCCGGCTAATTTTTGTATATCTAGTAGAGACGGGGATTCACCACGTTGGCCAGGCTGGTCTCGAACTCCTGACCTCAGGTGATCCACCTGCCTTGGCCTCCCAAAGTGCTGGGATTACAGGCATCAGCTACCATGCCCAGCCAAAAGGATTTTTAATTTGAGCTTCAGGATTTCATACCTTGAAATCATTTCAAATTTTTGTGTGCTTGCACGTACTGTGCATTTCCATGAGGAAGAATTCATTGGTTTTTATCAGTTAATCAAGGGAATCTATGACTCCAGAAATGTTTAAGAATCTGAGGAGAAAGGAAGAAATATAGTCTTTAGCTCTGTTAATAGGTGTGCAATTTTAACAACATTCTAAGTGAGCATTATTCTCTCACCTCCACAAGTTTGTGATGCACATGTTGTTTTCTCTGCCCTTCATTCCTTCTCTCCACACTTCTGCCTACCACTTCCACTGGGCTAATTCCTTCTCATCATTCAAGACTCAATTAATGTGTCCCTTATTCTAATCTAAGACACCTTCTTGAACTACGACCACTACCCCCAGGCTGTCAGGGAACCGTTCTCTGGCCTCAGAATTCTGTGTACAACTCTATGTTGCCTGAATGATAATTTTCTAGCTCTATTTCTCCTCCACTAGGATAGGAGCTCCTTGAAGGCAAGGACTTTTTATAATACATCTGTGAATTTCCAGAGTTTAGCACAATGCTTGATGCATAGAAGGTATTCAGTATAGTTTTGAATAAACAAGTAATTTTAAAAACAAATAAAAATCCTGTGAAACAGAGTGAGACCTTGCCTCTACAAAATATTAAAAAATTAGCTATGCGTGGTGGCATGTGCCTGTAGTTCCAGCCAGTTGGGAGGCTGAGATGAGACCATCACTTGAGCTGGGAAATCAAGGCTGCAGTGAGCCATGATCATTCTACAGTATTGCAGCCTGAATGACAGTGCAAGACCCTGTCTCAAAACATAAATAAATATACCCAAAGCAATTCTAAGCAAAAACAAACAAAAAAAACAAAGCCAGAGGCATCACATTACCTGACTTCAAACTATACTACAACACTACAGTAACTAAAACAGCATGGTACTAGTACAAAAACAGACACAAAGACCCATGGAACAGAACAGAGGAAGCAGAAATAAAGCTGCACATCTACAACTATCTGATCTTCAACAAAGTAGACAAAAACAAGCAATAGGGAAATGACTCCCTATTCAATAAACAGTGCTGGGATAACTGGCTAGTCACATGAAGAAGATTGAAACATATACAAAAATCAACTCAAGATGGATTAATGACTTAAATGTAAAAACTAAAACTGTAAAAACCCTAAAGAAAACTTGGGAAATACCATTTTGCACATAGGCCCTGGCAAAGATTTGATGATGGAGACATGAAAAGCAACTGCAACAAAAACAAAAATTGACAAGTGTGACCTAATTAAACTAAAGAGCTTCTGCACAGCAAAAGAAACTATCAACAGAGTAATCAGACAACCTACAGAATGGGAGAAAACTTTTGCAAACTATGCATTCAACTAAGGTCTAATATCCAGAATCTATAAGGAACTTAAACAAATTAACAGGCTGGGCGTGGTGGCTCATGCCTGTAATCGTATCACTTTGGGAGGCCAAGGTGGGCAGATCACCTAAGGTCAGGAGTTCCAGACCAGCCTGGCCAACATGGCAAAACCCACCTCTACTAAAAAACACAAAAATTAGCCAGGCATGGTGGTGTGTGCTTGTAATCCCAGCTACTCAGGAGGCTGAGGCAGGACAATCACTTGAACCCAGGAGGCAGAGATTGCAGTGAGCAAAGATTGTGCCACTGTACTCCATCTTAGGTGACAGAGTGTGACTTTGTCTCAAAAAATAATAAATAAAAATAATAAAAAGCGGGCAAAGGAGATGAACAGGCAGTTCTCAGAAGACATATATGTGGCCAACAAGCAATGCTCAGCACACACATACATGCGGCCAACAAGCATATGATAAATGCTCAACATCACTAATTATTGGAGAAATGCAAATCAAAACCACAGTGAAATACCATTTCACACCAGTCAGAATGGCTATTACTAAAAAGTCAAAAAGCAACAGATGCTGGAGAGGCTGCAGAGAAAGGGGAACACATACACATAGTTAATAGGAATATAAATTAGTTCAGCTGCTGTAGAAAGCACTTTGGAGATTTCTCAAAGAACTTAGAACTACCATTTGATCTAGCAATCCCACTACTGAGTATATACCCAAAGAAATCTAAATTGTTCTACCATAAAGACACATGCACACATACGTTCATCGCCACACTATTCACAATAGGAAAGACATGGAATCAACCCAAAGCCCATCAACAGTGGACAGGGAAAAGAAAATGTGATATATATATATATACATAAAATAAATCCCCGCTCTACAGAAGCCATCAGCAAATATTTCTTTACACAAGCAACCACATCTATAATTCTCATGATAGCTATCATTTCCAATAACCTGTCTTCTGGACAATGAACAATAATAAATACTATTAATCAATTTTCATCCTTAATAATAATAACGGCCCTAGTAATAAAACTAGGAATAGCCCCCTTTCACTTCTGAGTCCCAGAGAGGACCCAAGGAACTTCTCTAATATCTGGCATACTTCTCCTTACATGACAAAAACTAGCCCCTATCTCGATTATATTTCAAATTTTCCCATCAATAAACATGAACATCCGCCTATCTATCACAATCCTATCCATTATAGTGGGCAGTTGAGGAGGACTCAATCAAATACAACTGCGAAAATCCTAGCCTACTCCTCAATTATTATATACATATATACCACAGAATACTACACATAAAAAAGAAAGCCATATAAAGAAACAAGATCATGTCCTTTGCAGCAACATAGGTGGAGCTGGAGGCCATTATACTAAGGGAATTAACGCAGGAACAGAAAACCAAGTACCGCATGTTCTCACTTATAAGTGGAAGCTAAACACTAATTACACATGGAGACAAAGAAGGGAACAAAAGACACCAAGACCTGCTTTAGGGTAGAGAGGGGCAGGAGGGTGAGGGTTGAAAAACCACCTGTTGGATACTATGCTTATTAGCTGGGTGATGAAATAACCTGTACACCAAACCCCAGCAACATGCAATTTATCCATATAACAAACCTGTGTATGTACCCCATGAGCCTAAAATAAAAGTTGAAATGGAATAAAATAAAAATACAAACATACATAAATACATAAATAAAGTAACACAGCCCATAATAGTAATTTCTTCCACAAAGCCAAGACACAGAGATTCATCTATTACTCCTGAAAGAAAGACAAGCAAACTGTAATTATTGGCAGGTTGTTTTTGATGTCCCTTCCCCAAGAGATTTATTTCTATAATATTTTTCAAAATATTTATTTAGGAATTGACAATCTTATATAAAAGTTTTCAATCCTATATAAAATTTTAGAAGTCTTTTTGTGTTTCATTGCTTTGTTTTCCTTCAGATGACATGAAAGTACACTTTTTTCCAAGTCTGTTTAGAGACTCAAAAGTATACACCCAACAGTTCTTAAATACATATGACAAATAAAAACATCTTCCTTTGAAGTTTTAAAAAAGAGAAATTTGTTTTATGGATCCCATTAAATAAATGAGGAATATAAAAAGCAAAGATTAGCATATTCCAATATGGTGAACACTATCAATGAAGTACTGCAAGCTTTTAAACTTGCAATAATTTTTATAATGAGAAACATCAAATTCATCTAAGAATGAAATTTTTCCTTAAATCTGTATTAAAATTAATACTCCATTGCTGAAATTTAACAACTAATAAAAATACTCTGAAACTCACATAGAACTGTGCTGTTCTTAAATGACTCAAAGAGAAAGCTGTGATTTTATTTAGAATATATATGCAAAATATTCACATCCTCTGACTTTCTTAATATATATAGATCTTTAGTAGCTTTCATTGAAAGTGACACTGAGCCACAATGCTGAAACTGAAGCAAATTACAACATTCACGGATCTCAGAAATACAGACATGATCAAAGAGCCTTAGAAGAAACAAGCACATAAACTTTCTGTCAAAAAATAGTTTTCTGTCTCAATACTTTTGAGATATTAATATTATGTTATAGCTCACTTATAATATAGAAAATCTAAAAGTGAGAAAAATATTTTAAACTTTTGAAAATATTTCCAAAAATGAATAAAATTATGTAAGTCCACATTCCCTTTTCCATAATTCCAAAATCACCAAATATCTAACTTTAGCACCAAAATTAATTTGATAGCAAAATCCAACCCAAATTTATGTGACTCTGTTTATAATTTTTATTCACTTACTGTGAATGTGATATTGATGTGTTTGATTACATCTTACTATCTCACACCCCATTGGGGGTATTATGTAATTGACAGTACATATGCAGTATTGCCTTTCCATAATAAAAAGAAATCTGAGTTCTGAAATATATTTGCATCCATACCTGCCAGATAAGGGACTGCAGACCTGGATTTCCTCTTCTTTTAAAGGTGATTTTCTCCTATGCCTTTAGGAAAAAAAATATTCTCTCTCTCTCTCTCTCTCTCTCTCTCTCTCTCTCTCTCTCTCACACACACACACACACACACACACACACATAAACACACACAGACACCAATTAAGATATCATTTCTCTGGGGGTGTAAGACATTGTATACTTTCCATAACTTATCTCTAATTTTCACCTTAAAAGTAGCTGTTATTATCCCCAGTTAAATACAGGTACTAAAACAAAAAAGGCTTAACTATTACTTTGTCCAACCACTAACACAAGCTATCAAACAATATTCTCATTTCTAAGGCGTTTTACAATTTCAACATTCTGCCCATAATTGGTTTCTGATTCATATAAACCTGCTTTTTAAAATAGACCCATTTATTTCACAGAGAGTGATAAAGGTACGGTCCATTTTAACAGACTGCATCATTTAAAAAAATGTTTGCCTACATGGGCTTCCACAGAATAACTTGACAAAATAGAAAAACAAATTATTTTACCGGGTAACTAAAATAAAAGCTTTTTTAAGATAGCTGGAAGAGAGGGAGAAGAAGCTAAGAAAAAGAAGCAGGTGCAATCTAGCATGAGACTAATACTCCTACATGTAATTAACTGTAAGGTTTTCTTTTTTATTAGTATTGATAATCAAATTTATAGGGAAAAAGTCCTGACATTTGTGTCCCCATTTTAAAGCACAAGATTTAAAAGAAGAAACTTCCTTTTATAAATCTGACCCTCTTACAGAGCTATCTACATGCTCTGTAAGAAGCTTGAATATAAAAAATTTCTAATGTATTGCATATACTTTACATATAAAAGCATGCTTAAGATATCTTAAGTGTCCCTTATTCCTCCAAGAAATTCCTCAAAATCTACCTCACACAGAGACCGGTCCCATGATACACAGTTCAGGTAACAATTCTACATTCTCCAAAACTTAATGTCTGCCTTTCTTCTGACAGCAAAGCAGTGAAAAACCAATGAAGAAAAAACAGAATTTCTTATACTCATCATTGTATGTTTATATAATTTCTTTTATATGTAAAGTATATGCAATACATTTGAAATTTTTTATATTCAAGCTTCAAGTGAACTACGGACATAACATTTATTGGACACTTCAAGTATATGATCTCTAATATTCACAGCTATCCTGCAAATATCATCCCCATTTTACAAATGAGGAAACTGAAGATCATAAAACTTGAGTCCAAGGTCCACATATAATAAGTCACAGTCACAAAAGTAGGGTTTACACAAGGATCTGAGCCCATTTCTTTCCATTTCACCTTGTTAGAATATGCTTAGTTTAGAATATTTCCTGTAAGGCAGGGATTTTCATCATGGCTATGATTTCTTCAGAACGTAGTATGTTGTAATACAAACACAAAGCCAAATAATGAATCTGGGTAACATTTAAATTGTCAAAAAAACTAATCTTCTACTAATTCTTTGCAGATCTTAATTAAGTTGTCAACTTCTCCGTGCCAAAACTTCTCCACATATAAAACATAGAGAATACCTTAAAGAGTTGTTATGAGACTGAAGTAAAATGTATAAAGCACTTAGTACAATGCGTGGTACAAAATAAACACTTCATAAATGTTGGCTATTTCAAGTGAGATTAAGAAATTACCAGATGGCCATATTTTGTATCAGGTGACTCCAGCCAGCAATAGCTGGACACCTAATCTAAAACCAGTCAATCCTGACACTGGACTGTGATTTAGTGGTAAAAGACAATAAGGGTCAATAAAATTATCTCTCTCAGAAATTTGAATTAAACAAAGACTGAGGCATTATTTGCCTAAATGACCTGGCTTTTTACCATCATCAATTTTCTACCATCAATGTTACCAATGACCTCTCTGTTGCTAAATCTAGTTTTTTAGCCCTTCATTTTATATTGTTTGGCAGCATTCAGTCTACTGAGTATTCCATTTATCTTGAAACATTCCTTTAGCTGTGCTCTAATCTCTCCAGTCGCACCTTCTCAGTCTCTTTGGAAGGCATTGAAATATTGCAGCTACTCAACACTTCATCCCAGGCCTCTTCTCCCTCTAGGCAATTTCATCCACACCCATGGCTTGAGTAATTATTTCTATGTCAAAATAATTATCTCTATGCCAGTTTACACTTTTCTTGTAAATTCAACTGCCTTGTCAATCTCTCTGCTTATCTGGATGTCCTAAAGATACCTCAATCTCCACTTATCTAAAACCAAATTAATGATCTTTCCTCTCACACCTACCCAAGGCCCCTTCCAATGCTCCCTATCCCAATAATGGCACCACTAACTATCCAGTTGAACAAATTAGAAAATGAGAAGTAGTCTTCGATACTTCCTTCTCCATCATCCTCATATTTCACTAAGTCCTATTAATTTTATCTCCTAAGTATTTCTCAATTCCTTCTCTTCATCTCCACTGCTACCTTCTAAGGTCTCTCTATATGCATTCTTGTATCCTCTGTACTCTCCTCAATGTAGCTGGTGGAGAGTATATCCTATATCCACTCTTGTATCCTCTGTACTCTCCACATTGTAGCCAGAGTTATTTTTTAATTATTCTAATCATGGCATGCTCCCACTTAAAAGCCTTCAATGGCTTCCCATTATTCTTAGGATTTCTGACCCAAATTCATATCATATTCTACAAAGTACTGGAAGATCTGGCTTCAGCGTACCTCTTCTCTCTTCCCATTGCCCCACATGTACCCACACTTGTCTCCTTTCAGTTCCTCAAACACAGCATAACATGTTTCCACCTGCTTGGGTTCTTTGCACATGGTTTTCCTGCTGCCTCGACCACTCTTTGCCCTTTTTTTCAATTATCCAATCCCTATCATATGTCAGCTAAAATATCACTTCCAGACAATATCAGTAATTCAGTTATTCATTTAAGAAATCTTTATTGAGAACATACTATACACTTAGAAAAGTTCTAGACATGTGGTATTGATAAAACAATGCCCTTGTAGAGCTTACATTGTAGTGGAAGGAGACAGGAAATAAGCAATACAAGCAAGTAAATTAAATAGTATGTTCAAAGGCAATAAATGCTATGAGAAAAAAAGGAAAAGAAGAACAAGGTAAGCTCATCCAAAGCAGGGAATTTCCAATGCCTAACTTATTGCCAGGCATATAGTTAGCACTCGATATTTGTTGAGTGGATGAATGAATAAAGGAATAAGCCTGTTCAAGTTATGAGGGAGCTAAAACTATAAAATGAGTAGAGGAGCTACTCAATAAAACAGAGGTGCCATGAAAGAAAGAGAAATAATGAAGGCCTTGAGACATAATGGTTCCTCGAACTTATTTCTGAGGGTGTCATAGTTTTCAGTTCCAGTTTCTGGGGTGTGGTGTGTATGTACCATAACCACACACACACACACACACACACACACACACACACACACACACACACCAGGACCAAAGTAATTCAAGTGGATCACTCTTGTAATGATAATACCTGATCAGGACATATATACAAGGTTATGTATACCACTGCCAACACCCATCACACACATATTCCCAAAGCCACTTCTTTTCTACCCACACACCCATGCCATCCCGTAACATCCAGTTCTTCAGTGGTCAGCCTCATTTAGAGGCAAACTCCCTCCCACATACTCAAAACTGTAAAAACCTTTGCTTTCTTCTATGACCCTGTGAGAAACTTAAAGTCAGTATCTCACAAATCCCAGCCATATGCACAAGGGGTCCCCTCAGGAATAGGATCCTGGGTCTCCCTTCCTGTCAGTCTTCCTGTCCCTTAAAGGCTATCTTCTACCCACAGAAGTGTGGACATGCACTCCTTTGATTCTGAATGACCTTCAAGATCATTGAACCCACACACACTCACACTCACGCTCCAGCCTCCTTTGGTAGGCTCCTAAAGGACTGGGGCTCCGGGTATCCCCTCAAGGCCTCTTGTCTTTTTAAGGACCCATACAAGAATTATTTGCATAAATTTCTCTGTGACCAGGAGTGACCCTGAGGACACTGCACATCCCCAAACACAAATACTCTAACTCCCCCTTCCATGGCACTGTCTGATATTAAAGTAACACACCTTCCACGTATACCTCCCTCTTTAGAGTCAGAGCCTCCTACTCCCACCCCGAGCCCAAATCATGCCCCTTTAGGGATCTCTCCCATGCTCCCACAGGGCAGTGTACACCCTTTCCATGACACAGCCTAGCCCTAGGATTAGCCTTCACCACAGGTGATCCCAGGATTAAGATCCTGTCTCTTCCCTCAGGTCCCAGCCCCTTTCGGGCCCATGTTCTGTCAGAAGTGTGCACACTAACCCACACTCCCCTCCACCACCCGGACTTCGAGGTCCCTGCCCGCCATTCAGAGGGGTGCACGCCACCCTTGACCCCTGACCCTGAAGTCATAACCCACCGCGCAAATATACAGGACCGCCTCCTCAGGAGTAGGACCATGCCCGAGTCCCCTGTTGCCTGAGACCCAGGACAGCCTGGCCGCCTCAGCCTTCCCCAGATCGGCCGCCCCCACAGACCTGCCTCAGGCGCCGACTGGCTCCCCTCCGCCATTTTTGTTGTCCCTCAGTCTCCGAGCTCACGCGAAGACCGCGGGGCAGTAGGGAGCGGGTGGTGGGATCAGTGGGCTGACAGGAGCTACCTCAGGAAGACGCGGCACGACGGTTGCCTGGGCAACGGGCGGCAGGCGCGCGGGTGGCCGGCGCGCGGCTGAGGGCGGGAGGGACGCCTGGGAGGAGCGTGCGTCCAAGGCCCCGCCCCCGCGGCGCGAGCCCGGGCCTGAGCTGGGACTTGGGCCCCGGGGCGCTGCTCCTCCGCAACCGATCCACCGCATCCTGGCAACTGAGCAGGCTCCGCCACCCCTAGAGCACAGGGGCCAGGTCTGTAGGGATGGCGCTTTCCTGACGGCGACCGGGGTCCTCGTACTGACCGCCCAGACTAGCTAAACTGGCTTTTCTGTGGTTGGTGCTCAACTTTGGGGACTTGGGACAGGTTTCTTGATTTCCCAAAGCTTCTCCCCTTGGTTTGCCTGGGTTACTCGTCTTCAACTGAAATGCACTGAAAACCAACTGTGTGCCCACCCCAACCCAAACACACAGAGGCCCAAAGGGTTCTGGCTCCTTGCCCCTCTGCGACAGCAACCCTCAACCCCAGAAAAGACTTATCCTTTTGCTGACGTATTTTTCAGTAAATATGGGCTGCTGTTTCCCACCTTTCAGTAGTGACACGCCGTTATCGTCTAAAACCAAGCTGGAACATTACCCGTCCTGACCAGCTCTGCCCTCCCGCAGTCCCCTGTATATTCCCTCTATTCCAAATGCTTTATGCATTATTTCCTTCTCGACCATGAGCTCTCTGATACCTACGGTTGTTCTCTTATCTTTGTATACTCCATAGTGCAGCGTGGTGCATGACACAAAGTAGGATCTCAGTCAATGTCTGCTGAATGGAAAATGGTGGTAATCTGAAAGGAAATGAGGTGGAGAGAGTGAAAGAGGGAAGGGGGAAAAACGCTAAGAAAAATGTGTTATTGAGCTGATTGCTTTAGTAGACAACTATTTTTAATCTTGCTTCAGACTCTGAAAAACAGGGTAGAATGTGTGCCTGCCGTTGTCCCACTGAAGAACACAGAGTCTGGGGCATTTGTCTCCTAATTTCTGTCTCCATTGGTTGAGGGTTGCTCTCCACCTTCCAGCTTGAACTCTCTCACATTTCCTGGTTATGCTTGCCAGGGCTGAGCAGACTTCTAGAGTTTGAGAGAAAGCCTTGAGGCAGAAATGCAGAGACGGACCGGAAGGCCTTCTAAGTAAGATGCTGGCCACATGCATGGAACTGTCCATTCATCTGCATTAAAATCAGGGATAAGAATCTTGTACAGAAAGTTACATGAAAATAGCTATCAGAATTATCTCTCACATTTGAACAGTTTAAAATTCACAAGCCATGTCCACACAACTATCAAGATGAATATATATGTGCTTTCCACAGTCCTAATGACACTTATGTAAAGGCTGTGAGGGTTTTGGGAATTTCGGTGTCGGAGGAGTCAATAAGGGCTAAGAAGAACAAAAGAACTACATTAAGTATAGGGAGATGGAAAAATAAAGAGAAAGATGTGGGTTCTACTCAGACTGATGTTATAGCTTTATAATCTTGGGCAAATCACTTAAACTTACTGAGCCTCAGTTTCCTCTTCCAACAAACTGAGACAAAGGTCCTGCCTACCACAAAGAGTAGCTCTAAGACACAAATAGGGTGATGAATGAAAATGCATTTGATGAGTATGAGCCAGGCTCTGTGCAGATGCTGAGGATAAAGAGACAAATATAACATTATTAAATTGAACCACATTGGTCAATTTAAATTTTAAGTAAAATTTAGAACTCAGTTATTTAATCAGAATTGCCACTTTTCAAGTGCTCAATAGCTACATGTGGCTACTGGCTACCATATTGGACAACATATGTATAGAACATTTCCATCACTGCAGAAAGTTTTGTTAGTCAGAATTGATAGACAAATGCCTTACTGGGCAGAGGAGACGAAAAGCCTGGAAAACCAGCTTGCTGACAGGACCAGGTTCGGTTCTCCTCTGTGTCAGCTATTCCTCAGGAAGCAGTGCAGGAGGGAGTATAGACTTCTTCACTACTGCTGGAGTCTTCAGAGACTTCCCTTTTGTTGTGTGAAAAATAACACAGCATGGGAAGTGGGGGGAAAACGTCCCCTACATGGGCTCCTGGGAATTAGTTTCCCCGTGCTACCATTCATATGTCCCTGGGAGGTCTGTCTTCCCCAGAGACCTCCTATGATTTCTGTCTCCACAGAAAACACCCACCCACAACAAGGGTGCCTTCTTTCAAGCAAAATATACCCTGTAGGATTCACCCACTCCCTCCATAAACATTCATTAAAATGATACCTTCCATGTGCCTGGCCACTAAGTTAGATGCAGAATGGAATGAGAGAAATATTTAATTTATAATCATATTTTTACGAGCACAAACTCATTTCATTCTCAGAGCAGCATTATGATATTTGTATTAATATCAGCCTCTTGTACAGAAGATGAAATTGAGGCTCACAGAGTTTAAGTGACTTATACAAAGTTTCAGGCAGAAAGTAGCAGACTCAGGGAAGACTGAAATTATGCTAGGAAATTCATCTGTGTTATCTCATGTAATTTTCACATCAAAAATACCATGCCTTTGAAGTTTACAAACTAATTGGAAAGAAAGGATTAACATGCACAAATTCAGTTTACAATTAATTTCCAAACAATGTGGTAAGAGCAATGACACAGGCATGCTCAGCAAAGTGGAGGAGCACTAAAGAGAGATCCCCTTGATGGGCATCTATAGCCACAGCCCACCAGAAGTATTCAAAATAGCCAATCCTAAATGTTTACTCTGCTCTACCTTGCGATTCTCACAGAAATCCCAATAAAGGCTTTGGCCTAGGATTTCCCCTTGCTCCTGTGTTCTGACACCAAACCAAAACCTGGTGTTTCCCCTGTGACCCTTCATGGCATAAACTTCTTTCCAAGCCTTGTTCTCATTTACTCCTGTGGCCACACCCACTTAATCATACCATATCCAACATTTATATTCTTAGGACATACTTGTTATTCTGCTCTTTAATAAACAGGCTATTGTTGTTTACTCTTTCCATGTAAAATTTTAAATCAGCTTGCCTAATTGCAAAAAAAAAAAAAAGAAAAAAAGAAAAAAGTAATAATGTTGCTGGTATTTTATTAGAATTGTGATAAATTTATAGATTAATTTAGGGAGAAATGACATCTTTATGATACTGAGTCCTTTTATCCAAGTACATGATATATCTTATAATCTGTTTAAGTCTTCTATGTCCTTCAGAAATATTTAACAAATAGTTTTTTTTTTTTTTTTGGAGACATAGTTTCTGTCACTGAGGCTGGAGTGCAGTGGCGCAATCTTGGCTCACTGCAACCTCTGCTTCACCGGTTCAAGTGATTCTCCTGCCTCAGCCTCCTGAGTAGCTGGGACTACAAGCACAGACCACCATGCCACCATGTATTTTGTTTTAGTAGAATCTGGATTTTACCATGTTGGCCAGCTAGTCTCAAACTTCTGACCTCAAGTGATTCGGCCTTCCAAAGTGCTGGGATATGTGTGAGCCACCACACCTGGCCAAAACATTATAATGAGATATTTTATATACATTTTCATACTATGTCTTTAAAATCAGGTTTGTGTTTTACACCCACAGCATGTTTCAATCTGAATTAGCCACCTTTCAAGTGCTCAGAAGACACATATGGCCGGCAGCTACCATACTGGAAAGCACAGGTCTAAACACTCTAATTAAAAGGCAGAGATTGACAGAGTGAATTGGGGGAAAAAATAAGCGAGACCTAATTCTATGCTGTATACAAGAAATTTACTATAAATATAAAGATATATATGGGTTAAAGTAAACAGAAGGAAAAACAGACTTTACAAACACTTATCCAAAGAAGGCTGGATTAATATCAAAGTAGACTTCAGAACAGAATATATTGCTAAAATAGTTAAAGAGGACATTACATAATTATAGAGGTCTTCTCAGCAAGAAGATGTATAACATCATTCTTAATAATGAATTACTGAATGCTTATGGTGTAAGGCCTAAAAATAACACTATATGCTGCCTTCACATCTAGTAAAAACAGGAGGGCCTGGAATTACCTAACCACAAGTTCTCCTCCCCATTCTCCTCACACAGATAAGGTCTCCAAGTCAAACAACACTCCTTATCAAACAGATCAGGTATAGTTCCGATTATCCCTGAGTGGTTTCAGTTCCCTACCAATCCACAGAATTATTCAAACAAGCCAATTAAATCCTCTCATAGGAAACAGGGAAGCACTCAACCCTTTTGAAACTACAAAGCCTGCTTCCTACAGCCACTGATTGTTCACTGTGTTCCTGAGTATAACCTCCATTTGGCCCTTTGATGGTGTACAATGTCATCTTCTCCTGGGCTGTGAGTATATGTGACTAATAAACTGCTCTCAATCTCATCTGTCATGTCAGGTGTCATGTATTCAGCCATTCCCATAACGCCAGGGCAGGAATTTCCCCTCACCAATGGGGTGAATGGAAAGTAATTAAACAAGTAATTAATGCTTTCCTCTATAAATCAGGAAGAAGAGAAGGATGTCCACTGTCAACACTTTTATTTAATATTGCACTGGAAGTCCTAGCCAGTAGAATAAGACAAAAATAAAATTCAGATAGACTGAGAAGGAAAATATAAAAATGTCTATATTTACAAAAGACATGATTGTTTGTATACTTAGAAAATCCAAAGGAATGTACAAAAAGCTACTAGAACTAATAAGCGAGTTTTCTATATGCACGTCAATTGCATTTCTATATACTAACAAAAAAACTTCAGGTTAAGAAAATAATACTATTTACAACATAAAAATAAAAGTACAGATAAATTTAACAAAATATGTGCTAGACTTGTACAGTGAAAACTATAAACTATTTTTGAAAGAAATTAAAGAAGACCTAAATAAATGAAGATATACACCATGTTCATGGATCAGAAAACAATATTGTTAAGATGTCAATTCTCCTGAAACTTATCTATAAGCTCCACTATCCAATAAATATCCAATAGCTACATGTAGCTATTTAACTTTATATTAATTAAAATTAAATTAAAATTAAAGTTCTTTGGTCAAACTAGCCAAATTACAAGTTTTTAATAGCCATATATGGCTAGTGGCTACCACATTAAACAAAGCAGATAAAGAATAGTTCTCAGCTGGGCACAATGGCTCACACCTGTAATCCCAGCACTTTGGGAGGCCAAAGCAGGTGGACTGCTTGAGCTCAGGAGTTCAAGACCAGGCTGGCCAACATGGCAAAACCCCATTTCTACTAAAAATGCAAAAATTAGCCAAACATGGTGGTGCATGCCTGTGGTCCCAGCTACTCAGGAGGTTGAGGTGGGGGGATCATGAGCCCAGGAGGCAGAGGCTGCAGTGCAATGAGCCAAGATCATGCCACTGCACCCCAGCATGGGCAACAGAGTGAGACCATCTCAAAATAAATAAATTAATTTAATTTAATTTTTAAAAAAAGAATAGTTCCATAATCACCAAAAGTTTCATTGGACAATAGCAATTTATAAATTCAATGCACTCTCCATCAAAATCCCAGTCATTAAATAAATTTTATAATTAAAAATGACAAGCTAATTTTAAAATTTATATATAAATAAAGGAACTAGAAGAGCCAAAACATTTTGTAAAAGAAAAACGTACTAGGCTAGGTGCCTTGGTTGCTCATGTCTGTAATCCCAGAACTTTGGGAGGGCGAGGTGGGTGGATCACTTAAGGTCAGGAGTTCAAAACCAGCCTGGCCAACATGGTGAAACTCATCTCTACTAAAAGTACAAAAATTAGCCAGGCATGGCGGCCAGTGCCTATAATCCCAGCTACTTGGGAGGCTGAAGCAGGATTGCTTGAACCCGGGCAGCAGAGGTTGCAGTGAGCCAAGATCACACCACTGCACTCCAGCCTGGGCAACAGAGCAAGACTCCATCTCAAAAGAAAGAAAAACATACTTAATAATAAATTACTAAATTGAAGGACTTACACTACTTGGTTTCAAGGTTTACTATAATGCTACAATAATAAAAACAGCATCTGATTTGCATAATCACATAACATACAGCATATAGACATATTTTATAGATCAATACAACAGAATAGCATCCAGAAAAAGGTTATACATGTATGGTACATTGATTTTTTTTGACAAAAGAGCTAGGGTAATCAATGGGGAAAGACAGCTTTTTAAACAAATGGTAGTAGAGCAATTGGTTATCTATATGCAAAAGTAACATGAACTTGGACCAATACCTTTACCATATGCAAATATAAACTTGAAGTGGATCATAGACCTAAAACTAGAATAAAAACTGTAAAACTTTTAGAAGAAAGCATCAACAAACATTTTTGTGACCTTGATTAGGCAGAGTTCATAGGACACAAAAAGCGTAACCATAGAAAAAATTGATAAATCAGACCTCATCAAAATTAAAAATTTCTGCTGTTCAACTCAGTATTAAGAAGACAAAGACCAACAACCCAATTATGGACAAAATGGTTGAACAAGAAGATATGCAAATGGATGATAAGCATGTGAAAAGATGTTCAATATCATTAGTCATTAGGAAAATGCAAGTTAAAATCACAATGAGATACCACTACCAAACACTATAATGGTTAAAATTTCAAAGACTAAGAATACCAAATATTAGTAAGGATGCAGAGCAACTAAAACTCTCATATATTGCTGGTGAAAATGCAAACTTGCACAGTTACTTTGGAAAACAGTTTGGCAATTTTTTTTTTTTTTTTTTTTTTGAGACAGAGTCTTGCTCTGTCAGCCAGGCTGGAGTACAGTGGCACAATTTCAGCTCACTGCAACCTCCACCTCCCAGGCTCAAGCAATTCTCCTGCCTCAGCCTCCTTAGTAGCTGGGATTACAGGCATGTGCCACTCACATGCCCAGCTAGTTTTTGTATTTTTAGTAGAGACGGGGTTTCACCATGTTGGCCAGGCTGGTCTCGAACTCCTGACCTCAGGTAATCCTCCCACCTCGGCCTCCCAAAGTGCGGGGATTACAGGCATGAGCCACCATTCCCGGCCAGCAATTTCTTATAAAGTTAAACATACTCTTATGACCTAAAAATTCTACTCCTAATTATGTACTCAAGACACTAAAACCAAGTTGCTGATATAAACATGAGCTAAATAAAAGTGGTAAATCCAGCTACCAAGAAAAATAGAAGTGAGGCTGTTGGCCTAACAAGGAAAGGAAGAAAACTTGCAACAGATGGAGACTGTATCTTGGAGCAATAAAGAACTAAGGAGCAGGTATTTTATTAACTTTTTTCCCAGACCATATGACTATCTTCAGTGGTCTCCCAGCAATGTTTAGAGGCATAGGAAATTATTTTCATGTTATGGACTGAATGTTTATGTTCCCCAAAAATTTATATGTTGAAGCTTTCAATGTGATAGCATTTGGAGTTGGAGACTTTGGGAAGTAATTAGGTCATGAAGGTGGAGCCCTCAAGAAGAATAGTACCCTTACAAGGAGAGGCCAGAGAGCTAGCTAGCTATCTTTCTACCATGTGAGGATACAGTGAGAAGTTAGCAGTCTGCAGCCTGGAAGAGGTCTTCAACAAAAGCCAGCCACACCTTCACCTTGATCTTGGAATTCCAGCATTCAGAACTGTGAGAAATAAATTTCCGTTGTATATAAGCCACCAGTTAATATTATTTCTTATAGCAGCCTGAGCGAAAACACTTCATATAGAGAGAAGATCTGGGAAGCACATATCAAATATTAAAAAGAAAAAATTTAAAGATGAGCATGAGTGAACATAGCTAAGTTAATGAGGAGGGTCTCCTTGATTACATGAACACATATAAATGCTGGATAAAATACTAAAATTTTAAAACATGGCTTAATTCAAAAGAAAGGAAAATATTCTGAAGTTAGAAGGAAGCTTGAAAAGATCATGCTCTTCATTAATACATTCCATTACCTCCCAGCCTTCCCCATACCAAGCTCTCAGATTATATCGATAACTTAAAGGCAGCCTAACTTAATGGGCAGAGTATTTTCTCGATGATGGCTGAGTATCTGGATGAGTCAGACTTGATACTGGCTTGAAGAAACTCACAGCCTAGGGAAAGAGACATTGTAGCAATTTAAAAATGGAGAAACCTCTCCCCTTACTAGCTCCTGTCTCTCAATCATGGTAACTCATGCCATCAAAGAGAATTTAACTGGCACTGACACCACTCTTTCTGGGTAACAAAGTGGAAGAGCCACTGACAGCTGGTTTAGTGGGTTTGAAAAATAAACCAAGCTCAGGAGAGTACCAACAGCTTCCTAGCACAACAATATTATACTAGGGGCTACTCTTCTGAAAGGAGCAAAGCTAAATGCGACTGATAGAAAGGAAATGCTGTCCTTACTAAATTTTTTATTGTCTCCAAGAAATATGAATGCCCAACCCACTGTCTTGGTGAAATGTGATAACTTCTTAGGAAGCAAATGAGGAAATCAACAGTGATTCATTGATCTTATAATGGCTGAGAAGGGTAGTAATCGATGGAAAATTGACCCAAACCAGGTATACTGAAAAGGTCAGAGAGGCAGACTGTCCTCCTTTAGAGATGAAGAGCACAGTTCCTAAAGGAGGGAATGAGAACATGGCCCTCAGGGATCTGGAAGGAGATGGAGTTAAAGAAGAAAGGTCAGGTAAATTGAGAAGGGAAAGAGGTCCCAAGGATGGAAATCCTCACAGAGGCCACTCTCTTTTTAAAGGCCCAAATCTGAAAACTTCCCCTTTTCCATTAGATAGACTGCTGAAAATAGATGGGCTGCATTCTGTGTTTCTGCCACTCCTTGCTAAAGATAACTCCTTAAAGAACTTTGTAAACTTCACATAATTCTTCATTTGGATGAGATTAGCAGGACAATGTAGTTCAAGAAGGGCCAGACCTCATTGACCTCTTAGTATCTAGGGACTTAGTGAACATGGGGCTAGCAAAGGCATTATGGCCATATGTAAATTTTTTAATGGGTATATTACACCAGATACTGTTTATGCCTTAGTTTCATAACTTAATGTTAATTCATAAGAATTTCTTCATGTCATGAAGTATTCTTTGAAAACATTACTCCTGTTGCTATAAAATCATCATAAACGTGCATCATAACTAATTAAAGCATTCCCTTCTTGGATATTTGAGTCCTACTTTTTTCTGTTATAAATAATGCTGCAGTGAACATCTTTGTATACCTTTTGTCATCATTTCATCACTTTCTTGGTTTGGATTTCTATACATGAGGTCACTGGGTAAGGGGTATGAAGCGTACAAGGCTCTTGAAATGTATTGACAAATTGTCCTCCCCAAAGACCTCATCCCTTTATGTTCCCACTGTCGAGTATGCAAGTACCTGTCACATGATACCTTTGTCAACATTGTGCCTGTGATATTACAGGGGAAAATGTTTTATCCAATTAGCCAGGACACATGACTTGAACTTAACCATCTGCCCAAATGAAATTTGAGAAGTTTGGTTTAAACATGGAAACATGGAAAAGCTAATTGTACTTCTCACAGATGTGGCACCAGCAGAAAAAGGGAAAAATTGTTTTCAACATTTTATTTCCATCAGGAGAGAGGGCTTATGAACCCCAGGCTTCATTTTTCTTTCTGGAAAAGAGTATGTGGTATGAACTAGGTATGCTAGATCTCTATGGTTAACTGGAGAAACAGATAAAGATCTCCATTTCTCTTCATGCTCATGCCCTTAACTGGTACTTATTTACAGGGTATTTGGAAGAAGACAACATAGGGCATGTAAGCCTAGTCTATTTTAATGGCATCAGATGTTTTGATTCTTTAAATTTATTGAAGGATTAAAAGAGTTGGAGCTAAGAGGCTCTGAACACTCATTTTGCTACATCCCCAAGTATCATTAAAATTTGACTTTCTTACTGATGTAACAAAATATTTAAACACACTGAGATTGAAATTCTAGGGAATAAAACAAGGCTGTTGCTGGCTTGTTCAAGGAAGTGAAGACATTTAGACTGAACAGGAGGCCATAGAACCTCATTCATTCCAAATTTTAGAGTATTAGAGTTCCATCGTGGAAACGGAATGACCATTTCAGAAGAGATTCATAGATCATGATGTCAGTGAACCTAAATTTTCAGAATTGCTCTTGGAGTGCAGACCTTAGGATGTGACCAAATATATATATAAGTATCTCCTCTATTAGTTTTGTTTGTTTGTTTGTTTTTTGTTTATTTCTTTGTTTTTTTGAGATGGAGTCTCACTCTTTGCCCAGGCTGGAGTAAGTGGCACCATCTCAGCTCACTGCAACCTCCACCTCCTGGGTTCAAGCAATTCTCCTGCCTCAGTCTCCCGAGTAGCTGGGATTACAGGCATCTGCCACCATGCCGAGCTAATTTTTTTGTATTTTTAGTAAAGACAGGGTTTCGCCATGTTGGTCAGGCTGGTCTCAAACTCCTGACCTCAGGTGATCCACCCGCTTTGGCCTCCCAAAGTGCTAGGATTACAGGTGTGAGCCACCATGCCCAGCCTCCTCTATTAGTTTTAAGAGGAGATGATTGATATAAAAGTTAACTATGTCCAGTAGAGTCATAGTATCCCTGAAATCATGTAGGCAAGTATATAAATCCCAGAACTACATGGACATTTATGGCTATGTAATGAAACACTAGGCCATAATTTTCTTTATAAAACAAGCAAAAAGCAGAATATCACAAATAGGGATATAAATCTAGAATTAGAATTTAGGTGTTCTCTGATTTAATATACACAACAGTTTTAAAGAATAGTTTAGCCTTCTAAAAACATATATCCTCACAAAATAGATCAATGACAAATACTATGCCTAAAACTATATGCCTTTTTCCTAGTAATAAATGTAATTAATTTTTATAAAACCTTCATATGACATCTTAATTCCACATTTTTGAACAGCCTAAAGGTTTCACTTTCCATCACTGTATTTAAAAGTATGATACACATAGATAACGTTCTATTATAGGCATTATATAGGTTTGGAGAGCAATAAGTCTAGTTACAAATCCTGGCTCCATCACCCCATAAAGTTCTCTCCTTGACCTTTAAGAACCTACATAACGTGGAGAGGTCTGTCTTTGTGGTCTCACCTCCTACCACGTTCTTCCCCACTCATGATGCTTCAGCCCCATAGGCCTCCTTTGGTTCCTCAAGCACCTCAAGCTAGCTTCCCCCTTCACAACCTTCAGTGTTCTCTCTGCTTGAGCTACTCTCCCCTCACATCTTCACATCACTTGCTCTCTCACTTCATTCAGGCCTCTTTTCAAATGTCATCTCCTCAGAGAACCCTTCTCTGTCCATTCAATCAAAATAGCTCCCACCCTCGGTTACTCACAATCTCACTACTCTGTTTTTCTTTACTGTCTAAAATCATAAATTCTATTTAATCATTTATCCACGTATTCATTGACTTTCTTTCCAATAGTAAGCTCTGTGAGAACAGGAACCTTACCTATTTTGTGCCCTGATACATCTTCCATAGCTAAAACAACTTCTGATACATAGTGAGTGAATACTTTATAAATATTTTTAATGAATGGTTGAATAAATGAATGAACAAGAAATGATATGGGTCGGGTGCGGTGGCTCATGCCTGTAATCCCAGCATTTGGGGAGGCCGAGGTGGGTGGATCATTTGAGGTCAGGAGTTTGAGACAATCTGGCCAACATGGTGAAACCCCATCTCTACTAAAAATTCAAAAATTAGCCAGGCGTGGTGTCGGGCTCCTGTAATCTCAGCTACTCGGGAGGCTGAGGCAGGAGAATCGCTCAAACTGAGGAGGTGAAGGTTGCAATGAGCTGAGATCACGCCACTGCACTCCAGCCTGGGCGACAGAGGGAGGCTCTGTCTCAAAAAAAAAAAAAAAAGGCATGATAGGTCCATGTACAGATAATTGGAGAGTACAAAAAAAGATCACCTAATTTAAACTTTCAGTTGAAACAGAGTGTAACCAAAGGAGATTTCCCAGAGGAAGGTAAAATGTGAGCTGAATTTTAAAGGATCATCAGAAGAAAATGAGGATCCTAGGTCAAAGAAACAGACATGTAAGGATAGAGGTAAGAAAACACAGCTTAAATACTAACTGCAGGTGATCTGAAATGACTTGACAATAAGTTAAACAGTAGAAAATGGCTTCTCTGTGGGTGGAGAAGTTGAGTATAGTCCTAGAAGCTCTATAAATAATTTGAATACCAAAAGTGGTAAAAACATTGTATTTCTAAAGCCCCCAGAGATGACCAAAATCATGTGGACTTTCTTTCTAACACAGTTTACAGCAAAACAGGAAGTTTAAAATAACATTTATTGGGGAACTTCTCATCTTCAAAATCCTCTGCATGTGCCCTGTTCACCTCCCTCTCATACACGCTCTCCAACTAAGATCTGGCAGAAACTCAGGCCAGTTACCCTTTAAGACATCCAACAAGATCCATAATTATAAGCCAGCTTCTCTGATGGGATTAGAGACAGATTCTGTATGGTGAGTTCATCTCACAGTAGCTGTATTTAATAATATCCAGTAATTGCTACTGTTACCACCTGTGTCTTGGCAGATGTTTTAAGTGGTAATCTCCTCCCATCCCTCACCCCTCTCACATGCCACACAATAAACTGATTGTCAGGGATACGATTTCTCATATGTATATTTTTAATGCTGCTACAATTGCCAACTTAACAGCCACATGTCTTCTGAACTTGCCGGCTGGGGCGGGGGAAGGGTATATGTTGCTTTGCAGCAGGTAAAATGGTCCAAACAAAAAACTATATCCCTGCCCAAGTAGTCTGTTATCCAAAAGCAAGAGTAGGCAAGCTTCAGAACGTAGCAGAACAACACCCACACAATACAGGCAGATGGAGTGGCGTATGGCCACCACAGCTGGAAGACTTTGTGAATGATGCCCAAACCATTGCTAGTCTTTGAACACTTCCCCAGTTCAAAGTATAGAACACCATCTATTATCAACAAACTCCTAAAAGCTAAATGAGATGTTTAAGGTGTTCTTCAGTAGAGGTCATATTCCTAAGTGTGCAGACCTAAAATAGAACGCTTTCTGACAAAAAGTAAACTATTGCCCCTTCACAATACCATCCACCCTCAATGGTAACACATTCTGTACCCTTGTTGTCAGAGGCAAGCACCATTTACTGACTTTTTGTGATACGATGCCATTAACCAGTGCTTAAATGGATACTTTAGATCAATGTTTTGGGTGGGCAAACAATGGAAAAGGGTGTAGCAATTACTCTCTTGCCTTATATTGACCAACCATTAAAGCCTGGTACTGTTATTGCCTATTTTGTTGCTAATGTTTAGGAGCAGTAGAAAGGTAAATGGGATATGGTGGAAAGATCATTGGAACTAGGGAGATAAGCTGTAAAATTCTTATCAAGCCACCTCATCTTTCTAAGCTCCACTTTTCTTTGCTATAAAGTGGGAATAAATAGTTGTATCTACTTCACTAGACTATTTTAAAAATTAAGTAAGATAGTATAGGATCATCCAAATGTTAGAACTTATTATGTAACATCCGTTGTTTCTGTGTTCTTCTAAATTTCTGAGGAAGCTCTTAAATGACCCTATAAGCATTTTTATTTGTTGAGCTTTTTAAAATATGAATTTCCATTTTTAGAATAGTTTTAGATTTACAGAAAAATTAAGAAGATAGTATAGAGTATCCACACACCTCACACACCGTTTCACCTATTACTAACATCTTATATTAGTATGGTATCAATTTGTTACAATTAACCAGCTAATATTGACGAATTATTATTAATTTAAGTCTCAATTTTATCACATTTTCTTAGTTTTATCTAGCATCCTTTTTCTTTTCCAAGATCTCATGCAAGATACCACAGTCAACCTTAAATAACTAGATTCAGAAAATATGATTAAGGATAGAGTTTACTTGAACACAAATATTAAAGGTGGTCATGTGGAAACATTGACTCCAAATGAATGGGGTCAGGTTCCCAGGTGAAGAAGTTGAGGTTTCACTTAATAGGCAAAGGCAGAGAAATTTTAGCAGGATTACATTTTCCCCATAGATCAGTGCATATATTACAGCAATTTGATTGGTTACAGACTGCTACATTCCGAGGAAGCTTTTTACTTCAGAAGGAGGGGCAATGATCTGAGGGATTCTTATCTCTGGTGCTGTTTGGTCTTAACTTTTTTTTTTTTTTTTTGAGACAGAGTCCCGCTCTGTCACCCAGGCTGGAGTGCGATGGTGTGATCATGGCTCACTGCAACCTCCACCTCCCCGATTCAAGCGGATTCTCTTGCCTCAGCCTCCTGAGTAGCTGGTACTACAGGCACGTGCCAACACACTCAGCTAATTTTTATATTTTTAGTAGAAATGGGGTTTCACCATGTTGGCCAGGCTGGTCTCAAACTCTTGACCTCATGATCTGCCCACCTTGGCCTTCCAAAGTGCTGGGATTACAGTCGTGGGCTACTGTGCCCAGCCTGGTCTTAACTATTTACGGGGGAAAAAAAGCAGAAGTTGCTACTTCATGCCATGTGACTCAGGCTGCAGAGCCACATCCCTCTCAAGGGTCAGAATAATTTAAAGTTTCAACAGTTTTAAGTTTGAATTATTCTATTTCACACCACATTACATTTAGCTGACATGTCTCCGTAGGCTATTTTTGCTTGTGATATTTTCTCTGACTTCCCTTGTTTTTGATGACATTGACAGATTTAGGGAGTACTGCTCAAGTATTTTGTAAGACGCCCCTCTAATGGACTTTGATGTTTCTCTCAAGATTACGCTGGGGATATGGGTTTGGGGAAGGAAGATTACAGAGGTAAAGTGTCATTTTTATCACATCAAATGAAGGGCACATACTATCAACATGATTTATGACTGTTGCTATTGACCTTGATTACCTGGTTGAGGTAGTATTTTTCAGGTTTCTCTAGTGTAAAGTTACCTCTTTCCATATTACATTCTTTGGAGAAAGTCACAATTTGCAGCTCACAATTAAGGAATGAGAAGTTATGCTCCCTGTATCTGGTTTTGTTTTTATCAAACAAAAGTAGCATTTCCATGGGGCAGAACTTGCCCACTTGCAATAGAGAGAATATTGGGGCTAAATGATATTTCTAAAGAGTTGGTATAAACTCACTCTTTTTTTAGAAGAAAAACTATAGTAAGAGGAGTTTTCTATTCCTTGCCTTGAAGATCATAAGTTTCCACTTTTTCTTTAAGATAATTTTTATCTTGAAGGAAAAAAAAGTTTATTTGTTAGGTTTGCCATTGAATGCTTGAGGGGGCCTGTCTTCTTCGTATACTATTGTCTTTTCCTTCTTTTTACTTTCTTACCAGCATCTTCTCTAAAAAGAGAGCTCATACATTCATTTCTTCTTGTAGAACTTTCCACCATACTACTTCAAGTATGTTGTCTGTATAATTTTCTGAGAGAAAAAAAATTAGAATCCAAAGCTTCTCTCTGAGGGAATATTACCTTTGAAGTTCAAGGAGGCATCAGAATCAAAGCGAAATCTACAATTTATTTCCTTAGGACAAATTCTGGGAAGATAAAACTAACAAGATACAAAAGGAAAAATCTGTTTCAAACTGATAATAAATATGCTGTGATAAGTAGACAAAAGAAAACATGAGGAAGTCATGAAAAAAGTTACTTTGTTTACAACGTTGGATTTCCCAAACCCCAGCAATATGGGCAGCCAAAATCACTGAATCTTTGTATCTCAAACTTTCCTAAGGAAACTTCAATTTTCAGAATACTAGTCTCTGAGGCAGAATAAAAACACAATAAACATACAAATACACACAGTGAAATCTGACACAAGAAATTTAGATAAATTAAACTAAGTCATCAATATTTTGTTTTAAAAGAAAGCTGTGTAGCAGTAAGCAACATTTTTTCTAACGATAGTCACGTGGATACACAGTTCTTGTCTCTTCTCTATCAAAAACATACCCATATCCGGGAGAGAAATTTAGCACTTGGCTAACAAACCATTGAGACAATTTCTTTTTTAACAACAAAAACAAAACAAAACAAAAACAAAAACCCACCAAGATTAACAGCTTCTTTAGTCAAAGGCAATACAGCATAGAGGATCAATTATTACTTTTGGAACTAGAAAGATTGGATTTAAATTATAGCCTCTCCACTTACTAGCTATATGGTCCTAGATTACTTATTTAACCTCCCTGAATCTCAGATTCCTTATCTGTGAAGTAGACACATTAGTGCCTACCTTGTGTGTCCTTATTACAATTAGAGATAAGGTAGTTGGAAACGTAGCAAACAGCCTAATTGAAACATAGCAGGCTCTGAATTAGAGAAAGAGATGATGCTATCCCTGTCTTCACTGGGTTAATAAGCTAATAGAAGAAATAGAGATTAACCAAGGAATAGCAAAAATAAATGTAAAATTATCAAAATAATAAATTATACAAAGTGACTCAGAATTATTGAGGTATCATGGGAACTACATGGCTGGGAAAAGAAGTGTCTATTCTGTCATGGTCAATGGTAGTTCCATAAATTTTCTTTGTTTTTAGATTTACCTTGATTTTAAAAATTATAATGTTCAAACAGCTAAGGAACAGATAAGCTGTGAGATATAAATCACAATTTCACTAATTGAATGTATTTTCTCACTTTCTCCCAGCTTTTTTCCTTGGAAACACTGGGAAGGGACATAAGGTGGCATGAGAGAACACTAGATCCCTGTATACTCCTCCTGGAGATCCCACCATTATGGGTTAAAAATAGAAGCTGTTGAATTGGTGAACTGGATGTAGTTAAAGCCCCACTGTAATTAGTGCAGGAGCCCCACAGATTGTTAATGAGGCTGTTTGAATTAGCACCTGCTCCTGCAAGGGTCCGTTTTGAGCCGGTTGGCAATCAGGTCCCTTGGGTCAGTAAGAGGGAAATGGGAGTGGAGGGGGTGGAGTCCCTGGGCTGTCTTGTAGGTGTTTCTGAGAGTCTCTGAATCAATTTTATTTTCTGTTTATTTTACTACGTGCAAAAGGCTGGGCCAGATGTTAAAGGATATGTAAAGGTGAAAGACACACCGCTTGCCCCCCAAGAACTCACACAGAGGGGCAAGACATTTACACAAGGAACAAGTCTCCAAAGCATCTATGAAGCAACGCAGTTCAGCAAGAGAACTCTGACCTGGGAGTGAATCATGGTCCTTCTACTTTCTAGCTGTGTGATTTTGCAAAGTTGTGTAATCTTTCAAAGCCTCAGTTTCCTTATCTGTAAAATCAGGATTATTGGATATTTATGAGGAATAAATGATAGCCATGAGTAAAGTGGGCAGTATATCACTGGGTGAATAATAGGTATTCAGTAATTAAACTGACTTCAAAACCAAATAAATGCAAAAAGTGCAAAGAAATACCAATGAAATGCTTTGGAACTCCAATGGAGGAAGGTGTCATATCAGGAAAAACTTTTTGGAAGTGGTATGTGAGATGAACCTTATAGCAGTTGTCTGATTTTAAAAGGAGGCAATGTAGTTGGGGAAAAAGATTCCCAGGGACAGATGGCATAAGCAAAGGCATGAAGGCAGGAAAATCCGTGACACTCCAACTAGTAGATGTGTTTTTTGCTTAAGTTGTAGTTACATAGACCATAAGTCAGTCTCCAACCTCAAAAAGCTCATAGTCTAGTGGGGAGACAGACACACAAACTGAAATTGACAAAGCAATGTGACAGCAGTTGTGATAGAGGACTGCAAATGTGCTGTGGGAATCCAGAGGAGGCCCACTTGGATCAGCTGGGCTAGTGCTGACCAGGTGGTATATCAGAAGATGAAGAGGGTGTGCTGAGATTCTAGAGGATGATAGAGAAAATGCTGGGCACATGGCCCATGCTCAGTAGAAGTGCCAGGCATAACATCATGCTAGGCACACAGGATGGGACCTAGGAGTTGAGAAACACGATGAGAACGAAAACTGGGTTGGTAGCACTAAAAGGGTAAGAACAGTGACCAGGGAAGAAGCAGGAATATGAGAGAAAAATGGCTGAATTCTAGAGCTTGAGGGTGGAGCCATTTAGTACTATAATGAAGCCTGAGATCAGCTGTGAACCTAGGTGGCTGAAATTGAGGAGAAGGGAGACACTGGAGATTAAGAGCTCAAAGATTACGGGGAGTAAGCAACTTGAAATATCACTGTTGTCTGATGATGACCCAGAAGGCAGAGATAGAAGGAAGCCTATGTGGAAAAAAAAAAATCAATAAGCCAAGTCTAAAAATCACTCCGAAAGAAGGAATTGTGTCCTGAAGGGCAATAGATGGCTTTGGTATTTGAAATGTGCTAGCTACTTACTGCTGAGCACCAGTTTTATGCCAGGCACTTTAGACTCATTATGGTATCTTCAGTTGTGTTGGTTAGGATATTGGTTAGGTTGCTGTGAAAGGAAGGTCCAAAATAACCATGACCAAAGTAAGATAGAAGCTTATTCCTCTGTCATGTAAAAGTCTGGGTATGTGGTCCATGGCTGCTATGACAACACATAATCATCAAGGTTTCAGAGGCTTTCTGTTTTGTTGTCCTGCCAATTTCTATCTCAGCTCCCACCATTACAGCTCCATGACATCTGCATTCCTGATAGTTGGAAAGGGCAGTAGATAGCATGGCCCAGAATCACTAAGAGTGACCAACATTCAAAGGTAGGAGGATGAGATTCCCCTCCTGGTAAGGGAGTGACAAGGTCACAATGCTGAAGAGCAGGTGGGTAGGAATATACATTAACCAGCTAATAAAGCAAGTTCTCTGTGAATGCCATTTTTTCATCTACCAGTATCCACAGAACAAATACTTTTTAAAAGTACGTATTTCCTTCTCCATTCTAAAAGGATTTAAGGGATACGTGTTAGAGTAGAAATGCCAGTAAAATGAAATAGTACTCAGAGATTTTGGTTGTCAGCATGTTGGAAATGCCCAGTGAACGGTAGCCATAGCCAACTGGGTTCTATTTGTGGATCTGCTTCTCACAAGCTGTGTGAATTTGAGCAGATCACTGAGCTTCTTTAGACCTGACTTTCCTCACCAGTAAAATGAGAAGGATAATATCAATAATTTCTAAGGTCCTTTCCAGCACTAAAACCTACATGAAGACTGAGTACTCTTTCTCTTATTTCCTGCTATCATGATTGGCCGAGTTATTGTCAACTACTAAGCAATTAATCGTCTAGTCTATTAAGTGCAAACGACAACTGTTAAGGAGCAACTAAGAATAGTTAAAACTGTGAGAGCAAAGGCTCTAATCAAATGTTTCTGAACATATGCTCATGGGCTTACTTGAGAATAGCACTTATTCATTGTTTGCATTAAAATCTCATGTGATGAAATATTAGAGATTGCACAAATTTTGTTGTATCCATAATAGTCAATAAAAGTATTATACAATGTAGCTTTACTATGAAAGTAGAATACATTTATTTCACAGCTATGTAAAGTAGATATTTTTAAAAAGTACCTCATCAAGCTTTGATGTTCAGCTTTTCTAACTCCTGCTTCCTTAAAATTCAATACTGGAATCGTTTTGGTTCCCACCCCACCCCTGACCCGCTCAGAACTATCCCAGTAACCACCCTCCACCCACCCCCACATATACACATACACACAGCCAAGCTGCTTTGGATGCTCCTGCTCTGCACTCTAGAAGTCCCTCTTGCTTCTTTCTGTGTTGGTACTTGTTACACTGTATTGTCATTGTCTGTCATTTCCTCACCTACAGTCTCCTCAAGCTGTGATCATCTCGAGAACAGAAGACAACTCTACCACCAGGGGTTAGAGTGAAGCGTGGACATACTAGGTGCTCAATGAATTCTTGATAAATGACTACGGTTCCTTTGTTCCCCTTAGGAGATGTTGAAATGAATACAAGCCATGTTCTATCTTATGTCAAGTTCCCAAATTCTTCAAATATCCATAATTTCACATAAGCCAATTCTTATGTTGGTGTGCATAGTTGGAGTTTGTTTTGAATGTGCCCAATGCAGAGGTGAAAGCGGAAAGAGAAGCAACTAGTATTAAGCAGCCACTTTACATATTTTTTCCAATAACTTTAAAAATCATCATCTTCATAGCAACCTATAAGGTAAGTACTATTATTTCTATTAAATACAAACTGAGGCTCAGAGAGAAAAAGGAACTTGCCAGGGATCATGCAGCTCCTGAATAACAGAGGTGGAATTCATCTGACTCTAATACTACACAGCACTCCACAGGGAGGAGCTGGGCTAGGGGTGTGGGTGGAGACTCACTCTCATGCTCTGAAACCTCTGTTTTAAAATTGACCTATCCCCTACATTTATGCTTACTAACCCTGAATTTTAGCTCTTTACATGTAGGTTCAGCAACAAGTGCTCCCCACCATAACTAATACCTCTATTCTTCACCATTCATTATTTGAGCCATGGAGTTTACATGGATGCTATTGTTAAGTTGTTCTCATTAAGAGAGAAACAGGGCGGGACAGGGGAGGAGTGTGGCAAATCAAATCCTCAGGTCAGATCAACAAGATGAACAAAGAAACACAGGTGCCCTTATAACTGAGGTGCACAATGAGCTTGTAATGCCTTTGTGTGAAGATTTGGGACTTTTAAAGAAAAATAACATTGTCCTTAATACAGGAATTGCCTTTCCAAGGAAGAAAGTAAGTTTCCATGCTCTTACTGATTGCTTTGTTACATGAAGTTGACTATTCTAGAGCCACAATATGACTAGTAATTGTAAAATTGTAGATTTTACACGTTTACAAATTTGGGCAAAATGATCACAGATACTATTTATGGTTTGTATTGGGAAGGAATATAAATTAATAATTTGCTTTGGAGATTTTTAACATAATTCCCAAACACTTACTTTAAAATAGTTAATACTATCCTGATAATATTTTAACTATGTACATATATGTATACAGTCATATAAATACATGAGTAAGCCTAAAAAATTTTTCAACTGATGAGAAACTTTTTTTTCCTATTACATGGTTCTTAATTCTATGATGAGGTACTATTTTGATAAAATTTTTCATGTAAGTGGTATTACCTTAATATATTTGATTCCTAGACCTTTCTTAGATTACTTCTGAAATATCAATAAGATAAACAGAAATTATAAAATTGGAGTTTTATTTTTAAAGTCTCTCTGTGGAGTTTTTCAATTGTTTTTGAAAGAGCTAATAAATCCAGAGAATAGATTAAATCATTAAATATAATAAATAAAATGTACAATAAAGTCCTATGTATGCCAGATTTTTTATTTTGAAGAATTCATAGCTGAGCTGACTTTGGAAAAGTTAAAACTGAAAGAATTAATAATCTTTGTATGTCTTGTGTCTGGATTTAACTTCTGTTTTAGTAATATGAGCATATGTAAATGCTACATGGGTTTCTTTTAAATAGGGACAGCTTTCCACTATGAATTGTGACAGGTCACACATTTACACAACCTTTTAGTGTTAAATAACAATATGTTTATATATCAATATAAGGAACACGTACTAAAATCTTTATATTAGAGTGTGACAAAGAACTTAAAATTTTTTTAATTTGTAATCATTTTTACCAGGGACTGTTCTTAATGCTTTCTGTATATTAACTTCTTTAATCCTCAGAACAAACCCCATGAAGACAGTTCTAATATTATGCCTATCTTACAGATGAGAAAACTGAGGCACAAAGAGATTAAGTACGTTACCCAGCATCACAGAGTTACTAAGTGGTAGAGTTGTGAATCAAACCAAGACAGGCTTTTACCCACCACACTAAACAGCCAAATTAGATTCCCTGGAGAGGTGATTTCAGTAATAAGATGGTTATAAAGAGCAAAACTTGCTACAGGGTTCTGTCTAAATCATTAAAAACAATAATGTGCATCAAGTTTTTGTACATATGCCTACCAGTGTTAGGCTACGTGCTTTAAATGATCCCTTGCACTTAATCCTCACAACCACACTATGATATGTTTATCTAGCTGTGTAAATTTGGGCAACTTATTTAACTTCCCTATTTAAGCCTCAGTTTCCTCATCAGCTGACGTGGGGAGGATATTCTAGAGTGATTAGCACAGTGTCTAGTACAAAGTAAAGTCTTAAAAAATGTCAGCTATTAATATCATTACTGTTTTTAGGCTTTAGAAGGATCAAGCAACTTGTTCAAGATGACATATCTTGAAGAGGAAAGAGCTAAGATTTGAACTTAGGTTTCATCAATACCCTAACTACAGTGGTTAAGACTATATTCTTTACTATGCTAAACTGCACTGAATTTTTGCCTGCTGGCCTTTGCCACAATGCTTTGCTCATTGTAGTTATTTTGATAATAATTAGAGATAGTGATACACTAAAACTAATGTTTTATTTTAATTCTAAAATAATAAACATTTACTACTGATTTTTAAAAAAAACACAGGCAAAAGGGAAATATGAATCATGCATCATCCCACCTTCCAAAATAACCAGTTACCCTTTCAAAAAACAGGATCATTCTGAAGATACAATTTTATGAACTGCTTTTCTCACTTTGAAATATATTGTGAACAACTTTTCATGTTGATATTCATCAACTGTATCATTCCTAATGTCTCCAGAATATTCCATTGTATGATCAGTCTTCTTTATTGACTGATCTGAAAAATCAGTCAACAAAGATGTTCACAATATCAAGTTGACTGATAGAAAAGTTATAAATAATATTGATAATTTTTCCATATTTCAAAGAATGCCCCAGCAAAAATCATAGACCCAAATCTTTGAACATGTTAATGATTATTTACTTAAAATAAATTTATAAAAGTGGAACTACTGGATCAATGGATTTGAATTAGCAGAATTTTGAGTTGGTATATCCCCAACTGCTCAGCAGCAAAATTCCTTTGTATTATATAACCAAAGAAGATTGTAGGAAAAAAGCTTTTATAGCCATCAGTGATTGTTCAATTTTAAGGCTGCACTAAGAAACTTGAATTGCATGAGATGGTCCATGGAAAGTACATAGCGCTTGGCATAGTGTCAATAACATAGCTATTATTATAATGAAACCATCATCAAATTTGTTCCATTTGTCATCCCAAATCTTTTTACTACCTAGGATTCCTCTTTAGTTTATTTGGGCCTATTTGAAGTTCTGAATCTTGCCCAAGTCTTAAAAACAGGGAAAACTTGAGAATGCTGACAATTGTGAGGTAAAGCAATAGGCTAGGGGTCGGGAGAACTTTTATAATTTTTCCTCCTGATTCTTTTGTAATCTGGGGCAGGTCTTCCCTGGACCTCAGAGCCTTCACCTATAAAGAGACACTGGATAAGATGACCTCTTTAATATTTCCATTCTAACTCTTGATACTAAGCTTACCTTAGCCCAATAATTTTTACTGATACCTGTATTTCCTGTATTTTGAATCAAGGTAGATTTTCTTTAGGCAATAGTGGCCATTCTCAACAATTCAACTGTTAGTTTCTGAGCCCTAGGAGTAGAATTTTATGAAGGTCAAGGAGGGCCAAACAAGCCACTTTCCCATTTTTAATGATCATCCCATTACCTACCACTGAACTAATGTTGTGTTATTCAAACATCTAGCGTGGTTTAAAAGGCCACAGAGTAATGGAAGGGCCAGTAACTATTTTTACGTGAAATCATAGCTCACAAAGGACTTCGGCATTTTGTTTGGGTCAATTGTTTCCATTTCTCACTTTACTTTGGACATATCTTAGACACCAAACAGCCAAACATGACTTGAAGGATCTACTTAAGGTGTCTACATTCCCTGCCAAAGACAAGCCACCTTCTCCATGCTCCTCTCCCCAAAGGGTAAGATTTATTCTAAGGGTTCTGAATTCGTCACATTTATAAACCCCGTGGGTCCGGCACAGCAATTAACATTGGTCCAAACGGTGTCAGTGAACTTTAGCTGCAAAGAAACTACCTCATTTAAAATTTAAGCAGACCACAGGGAGTAGCATTGGAGGAAAGAGAGGAGATTTTCTCCTTCAACATTTTGAGCATACTGGAATGCCAACCCCCTAGGTAGGTGCCAGGGCCACCACAGGAACCTGACTCGCAGGAGTCGTCCTCCGTCTCTACGCGAAGCGCCCCCTCGAGGTGGGCAGGGGGTGGCGGCGGCGACGGTGGCGGAGCCGCAGAGCGAGCTAGAGAGCGAGAGCGGTGAGACTCTGCGGACGTCTTCCCGCCCGCCGCGCTCCGCCCCACCCAGCCTCCGCAGCCTCGGGCCGGATCGCCCGGCGGGGAAGATGCGCCTCAAGAACCAGGTAGAAGCGCCTCGGCGCAGGCCCCGCACCCCCGACTCTGCCCGCCCTCTGTTACGGACACCCGCTGGGCCACGTGGTCGCGACTGGCTTCTCCCAGCGGCCAGCCTGGCCACCCCGACTCCCAGGGAGGGGGAGAGGGCCCTTGCAAGAGGATCCTGCCCCCGCGCTGCCCAGACCTGAGGGCTCCTGGCGACCCCACCCGCAGCCCATCTGGCGGCTCTGGCCCCGCAGGTCAGGGTCACACCCCTGCCGGCCTCCTGAGACTTCCCGGCCCCAGGGGAGAGAGCTGAAACTTGGGTTGACGCGCGCCCCCTCCCCAGCGACAGGCGACCCCGCAGCAGCCCCGCGCCACTCCTCTCTGCGCCTTTCCGTAGTTGTCCTCGAGGTGGCTTTGTTGAACGTCCTGGTGGCGCCAAAAAGTCCAGGCAGCTTCGGGCGATCAGGGTCCCGAGGCGCTGGGCGCGCGGACTTGGATCCTCAGGGGGCCCCTCTGTGTGACTTTCGCTAATTGTCTCACAGGGAGGGCAGCACCCTCCCCTATCTTTCCTCTATTACACCCCGCTGTGGACCTGGGACTTGGGTATTTCTAGACGAGATTGGGAAGGCGCGTGTGTTACACTAAGCAGTGCTCATGTTTAGCTGAGGAAGAAGGAGCCTCAAGTGTTCGTAGGGTGTACCTGTGTATGTTGTAATTGTTGTCTCTCTTTGGGCTGGGGGCTGTTATACATGTAGGATTTAGTAAACACAGGTCTTGAAGTCTTGAACCTGCAGGAGACTCATTTGTTTCTACAAGGAGAGAACCTCCCCTCCCCCAACATATGTTAAGGGACTTGAGGAGACCACAGGGAAACCGAAGGGAGGGACTTCTAGAAAACAATTCCAGGTTTGGGGGAAAATGAGTCATATTGATTCCCAAGCTGTTAGCCAATACCACTCAAGGGTAATAATTTTCATAAAATCTTCCCACTGGGGACTTAAATACAGGGCTCCACAACACAGTTTGTTGAGAGCTCTCTGGTGCCTTTAAGCCTATCCATGCCCCTTACCTAAATGCTTTAATTTAGTAGAGCTCCTTGAGAAGCTGCCTCACATTATCCTCCTGCATTTGTGCGCCTAGCTTTTAATATTTTATAATACTTGCAAATTGACACTGAACAAGCTTTAACCTCCATCATTTCAGAATAAGTTTGATGTTTTAAGTGAGATGTGAATGGAACTCCATTCATGAGGGAAGTAGTCTGTGTGAAGTGTTTTGTAAATGTGAGTGGGTTGAGTTTAAAACACTGAATAAAATTAACGTAACAAGGAATCAAAAGGTTCAATCCAGATGTTTGCCTCCTTGCTTCTTCAATAAAGTGACAGTACAATGCTGCATGACACCACTTGCTTCCTTAATAAAGTGACAGTACAATGCTGCGCGGCACCTCTCCTTTCAGTTTTTAGGTAGGGTAGACTGTGGCACTGTGGCTTATGGGGTCAACCATGAGCAAGTGGATGGCTGGATTCCTTCCATTCATTTTTTAAAGCACTAACAAAATCCTTGGGGCCGATGGGGTTGTGACCCACCCACCTATACAGAGGATTTTCCTCCTCTACTAACTACTCTAGAAATACATGAGGGATTTACATGCAGGTTTTTAGTTGAAGAACTAAAGTAATCCTCTTTAGTTATCATTAGTATTAGCCTCTGAAACCTTTACTTGCTTGCTAAGATAAGGTACTTGGGTGTGGGTTGTAATAGAGGTGGAGTTGTGAGTTAGAGCTGGTGGCCTTACTAATTCCTCTACTTACTGTGTGCTTTGGGTTGACAGAAAACTCCTTAGCATTTGTGTAAGTGCAATATAGTTTAGCATGAGAGATTTTAAATTAGATATTCTTGGTTCCGGTCTGACCTCACCACTCAGTAGTTATGTGACTTGCATAATTAATTTTTTGGTCCTTCCTGCCACTTTTTTCGCCATAGATACATGGGGTTAATACCAACCTCGTAAAGTTGACATGAGAATTAATATTATATATGTACAGTGCCTGCCATATGGGCATTCAGTAAATACTGCTATTATCAACCAAACATAAACAGTAGCTATTACCACCATTGCTACTACATCTGCTTAAAAATGGCTCCTTGTAGTTGGGGAGGGAGATTTGGCTACAAAGGGACAGGAGGGAGCTCACTGGGGTGACTGAAATATGCTTTATCTTGATTGGGGTGTTGGTTACAAAGGTATATCCATTTGTCAAAACTCATCAGAGTGAACCTTTATGATCTGTGCATTTGATTTTATGTGCATTATATATCAATAAAGTTCATGCTTAAAATTAACATCCAGATGTGTTAAGTACATGCCTTTGGGAGGCCTAATTCTGCATAATAGCATACCTTCTTCGTAAGTTTATCCTGAGCCACAGGAAAGTTAGAGAAGGTGCTTTAATTTTTCAGGTTGATGTCAGGAGTGATGGTCCATGGAAAAAAGTGATTGTCTTGTGCCAAGATTATATTTAATTTGGTACTAGTTTTCATTAGTAGCTTAAAAAAAATTGAAATGTTTTATTTGAGCAGTACTGCTCATTTGCATAATATGATAATGGATATTATAATATCCATCCATTATTCACAGTTGCTGAAAAATCATAGTGATTTTGCATCCCTTTTCCTGCTTTCAATAAATTCTATGCATTGTTTTAGCTAAGTGAAATATGTAAAGTGTGTTTAGCACAGTACCAGGCACATGGTAAATACTGATACATGCTAGCTGTTAGTTTTTAAGTTGATATATTCAAATTCATCTTTTTTATAGGGCAGAATCAACACTATATAGATTATAATATCAATCTATCGTAAATATGCTGTTAAAAGTTTTTGAGGTAGAAACAAGCCAAAAATTATTAATAAAATGTTGTAAAACTGAAATCTCACTTATCTAAACTTAGTAGTCATGAACTTTTTACAACATTATGTCTTGGGAATATAGGCAAATCTGTGAGGGAAGCAAAAACTTTTCTCAAAAGCAAACATATATCCACAAAGAGTATGCTAACTCATTTACTTAGAGGCAAGCTCCTCTCATATTCCCTCAAGCCTTTTTATTTTTACTTCAGACATAGTTCTAACATGTTTAGTTCCTTAGTTTCTCAGCCTATAGTAGTTTAGAAGCCTTGCTAGATACAAGTTTCAAGAAATATTAGCTGAATGTAAGGGGCGAATGAATTATAAAGATAAGACATGAGAAATCAGTCTTATTCTTGGGCCAAAGTAAAACTTGAATTAGAGTACTGAATAGTATTGCTGATTTATTGGACATTTTAATTTTTATTCTTTAAAAAAGTTAAATTGTATATTCTCTCTAAAAAGTGGGGCAGTATATAATGATGTATTTTAGAAACATTTCCATCTGATAGGATTAGATTACAAACTTAGGCTTGTTAAGGGCAAGCTTCAGTTATCTGGATATCTTACTTAATGTGGAATGACTTATTCACTCATGGTACTGCATAAATGAGGCATCTATCAACTTGTGATTTTTTTATTGGGAACTGGATTTTTAAAATCTATTTCATCTTTTGATAGAACAATATGATGAGATGAATCATACATAGAGTATTAGTTTGCTAGGGCTGCCATGACAAATATCACAGACTGGGAGGCTTAAACAACAAAAATTTATTTTCTCACAGTTCTGGAGGCTAGAAGTTCAAGATGAAGGTGTTAGCAAGGTTGTTATTCTGAGATCTGTCTCCTTGGCTTGTAAAATGGCTGTCTTGTCTATCTCTTCATATGTTCTTTGCTCTGTTTACGGCCTAATCTCTTCTTTAAGAATACCAGTCCTGTTGGATTAGGGCCCACTCACATGACCTCCTTTTACCTTAATTACTTTTTTAAAGGCCCTATATGAAAATACAGTCACATCCTGAGATACTGGGGGTTAGCACTTCAACATATGAATTTGAAGGGACTTAATTTAGCCAGTAACACATGGTTTTAGTAAAAAGCTGTATTGATTCTTTCAAAATAATTCAGCATGCAGAATATGAAACAGGTGAGATTTTAATTCTTGTTTTAGAACAGTTCAATTTGGATTTACATGTGAGAAACCCCAAAATACTCATCATGTACCAACACACACACATACAGATACACCTACACATACACACCCCACACTTTTTGTGTGTAAAGCTGATTATAACTGAAGCTGAGTTAGGGTCATTGTCCAAGCTGAGTTTAATCTGTGATAAGGTCCACTAGCAATGTCTTTCATTGATCAAAAAAGACAGCTGTGCAGTAGCTTCCTAATCTTTCTAGTTTTATAGTATCTTAGGTGATGGAAGCAGAAGGTTTGACTTTCTCAGAAGAAACCATTTACCACTTTGATACTTTCATACCCCCTTGTCATTTGAGCTCTTTGACCCTCTGGTATCTCTGAAACAAAATAATTATACTAATCCCTTGATGCATCTTTTCCACATATTCAAACCATGAATTTATGGACCAAAATTTGCCACACAAGCACCTTTGTTCACTCAAATCAGAGTCTGGCAATAGTTTACTCAGAGGAACCTAAACTGCCTACTACACAGTTTATTCTCCTCACTAGTTTGAAGTTCATCTCTGTTCCACATGTTCATGCATCAGAGTATGATATTTTATCCAAAGAAAAGAAAAAACTGCTAAACTTATGTTGTGCAAAAATGACTCCCAAAAACCCTATGTGTGTTACTGTTACTACCAGTTTGTGCTAATTTGCACAGCCTCTGAACAACTGGCAAAGTGGCTAGTGTTGACATTGCAACTGCTACGGAGTTCCCAGTTGCTGTAGGAATTTTTAAATTTTATTAGTATAATAACAGAGTTTACAGTTATTCACAGTATGTTAATTGCAAACGCTTATTATCTATAGTACCAGCTTGATACTTGATCTTATGTTTCTTTTAATAGAAATACTGCAGCTTTTACTTTTCATTGTAATGAAGGTTAATCATCACTATGAATTTTCACCTATGAGCAACAATTTTGCAACAAGTTATAGTTGGGGTGAGTCTATTATATTTAAAATATAACACCAAAATAGCTTCTTTTTGTACTTTTAATACTTCCATTGACAAACAATTGCTCATGTCTCTGAGCCTCCTACAACCATTTCAGATGACTGATGGATGATTGGTTTTTGTTTTTTATGTTTTGTGTTTTTGAGACGGTCTTGCTCTGTCACCCAAACTGGAGTGTAGTGGCATGGTCACAGTTCACTGTAGCCTTGACCTTCTGGGCTCAAGCAATCCTTCAACCTCAGCCTCCTGAGTAGCTGGAACTACAGGTTCACGCCACCAAGCCTAGCTAATTTTTGCATTTTTTTGTAGAGACAGGGTCTCTCTATGTTGCCCAGGCTATTCTCAAACTCCTGGCCTCAAGTGATCCTCCCACCTCAGCCTCTCAAAGTGCTGGGATTATAGGCAAGATTGATTGATAGATTCAGTGAATGTTTATTGAGTGTCTGGTATGGACCTGGCCCAGTTGTAGCTGTTTAGGATGTATCAGTGAACAAAACTCAGCTATCCCTGTCAGCAAAGGAACAAGAGAAAGTAGACATTAAAAATAACCATAATCAAGAAGTGCGTCATAGAGCACGTTAGACAGTTATAAATGCTATGTGGGAAAAAAAATAGAGTAAGATAAAGAGGGATAAGGATTCCAGTGGAGGATTGCAGTCTTGAATACAGTAGGCCTCACTGGTAAGTGATATTTGAACAAAACTTGATGAAGATGAAGAAGTTTTAGTTGTGTGGCTATCTGGGGGTTATAAGCAGAGGGAACAGCCAGGGCAAAGGCCATATGGCAGGAGTATACCTAGAGGGGTTCAAGTTACAGCAAGGAGGTCAGTGTGGCTTGAGAGGAGTGAGCAAGGAGGAAAACTATTGTAAATTGAGTTATAAGTTTTATATACTGAGTAAATGTTGACGTAAATATTGTCTACCAGTAAGTAGATGCTTAGCATAGTGATTCTCTCCAAATGCTTGTTGAATGTTTCTTTGGCAAATGAATTTGTGCTTATAAGAACTGGTTCTGAAGTGCAATAGAAAATGGACTTCTGCTAATTCTGCTGCTGGCAGAAGTTAGATTAGGATCTGGAAAAGGGAGGAAGGCAGGAAAACAACCTGGTAGATGCTGATGTGTAGGTGTCTGAGTCCTGCCCAACCATTGTCACTCCCATCTTGCCAGGGGAATTAATTTTTCACTTATTTAATACTGAAAATTCCCTTTTCTGTTTGATTTTTGTCCTCATGATTGGAACTTTTAACCAGAAAGAATAAATTCCAGTGTAAAGAATATACTAGATTTAAAAGTGTGAGATCTGTCAACCTTAGAAGACTCATACCATAGATTGGTATTATTCTTTTTTGTTTATTTCTTATAGGATAGACCTTATAATTATTATATTTGTGTATTTTGTTTACAGTTTACAAAGTATTTTTACATATATTAATATTATTAATTTGATCCTCACAGCAAATCTATGTGAGAGGTGGACAGCCATTATTAAGTTTTGGGCTGAGTATCTTTCATTTGCCCTTGAGATGTTACTCTCTACCCTTTTCCCAATCCTTTCTGTGGCCTTAGGGCTGACCTTCATAGCTTCATCAACAAGCTCCCTTGCACTCTTGCTTCTGGAAGGATTCAGCCAATACGGAGCACTTACAGGATATCTCAGACAGAAGAAAAGTGAGTTTGGAATATTTACTTCTCCAGCTCCCTCCCTTCCAGGTTACTGGCTAGCAGTGGCTAGCAGTGGCTGCGTGGAGGCCACATCACCTATCCAATCTACAGCTACAGCTTTCTCTCTCTCTATGGGTTCTCTCAAGATCTAGGGCTGGGTCTCCACTGTTTCTATCTTCAATGACTTATCTTCATTAAATCCTGCGCAATTTCCCTTTTTGAATATGCCTTCTGTTTCCTGTTGAGACCCTGACCAAGACACCACTTTAAAAACGACAGTCTTGGAGAAGTTGGATGACTTGCCCAATAATAGATATCCAGTAAATGACAAGAATAGGGACTTAAATCCTGGTTTTGTGACTTCAAAGCATGATCAATTTGTTTTGTTTTTTTTTTGTTTTGTTTTTGTTTTTGTTTTTGTTTTTGTTTGAGACAGAGTCTCGCTCTTTCTCCCAGGCTGGAGTGCAGTGCCGCGATCTTGGCTCACTGCGAGCTCCGCCTCCTGGGCTTACACCATGCTCCTTCCTCAGCCTCCCGAGTAGCTGGGACTACAGGCGCCCGCCACCACACCCAGCTAATTTTTTGTATTTTTAGTAGAGACGGGGTTTCACCGTGTTAGCCAGGATGGTCTTGATCTCCTGACCTCGTGATCCACCCGCCTCGGCCTCCCAAAGTGCTGGGATTACAGGCGTGAGCCACCATGCCCAACAATCAATTTTAAATATACCACAAAGGAACTTATCCCAACTGGTGGATAGTGTTGAAAAAATCTTTCTACTTTGACCTTCAAAATTCTATATAGGCCAGGCACGGTGCCTCACGCCTGTAATCCCAGCACTTTGGGACGATCAACAAGTTATTTATTGAGCAAATGACTTAGTATGAGGCTCCTTCAACGAAAACCTTTACAGGAAAAGTTTTGAAGTTGTGCTGACTTGAGTTAAAATTTCAGAGAGGTAGGGTGGAGATGGGAGTAAGGAGAAAATAAAAAGCAAAAGTTCTGAGTAGTCATCAACTGCAGACTGCCTAAATAGGAAGTCTACGCCAGGAAGTCATGTTTTTGCTGCTGGAGGTTTGAGTAGGACTCTGTATAACTTTGCTCTCTTATGCAACTTGTGATTGATCTGGGTTAGTTGGCTCTGCTGCTATTATAAAAGGGATTTCCTTTTCTTTCCCTGGAGATTGGGTGCCCATCTTTTTCCCTACATTTCTGATAGTAAAGGTCTTTTTATTCTCACAGCATGAGTTTCTGGACAAAGGGTCATCTGGGAAGCAAAAGTTGAGGATCTTACTCAGGTCACTGGAACTAGTGTTCTAGAAGTGCCTGGTGCATGATGGTAATAATATAAGTCACACCCCAAGTTTGTATTACTAATAAGAGTTTTGTACTACAAACTTTCCCTGTCTGTTCTTGTTGAGGGGGAAATGGCACTGAGTGTAATACTGTATGGTCATGCACCACATAAGTACGTTTAGGTCAACAACGAAGTTCATTTATGATGGAGGTCCCCTAAGATTATAATGGAGCTGAAAAACTCCCATTGCTTAGTGACATCATAGCCATTGTAACATCGTAGCATAATACATTACTCATATGTTTGTGGTAATAGTGGTGTAAACAAATCTACTGTGCTGCCAATCATATAAAAGTATAGCACATACAATTATGTACAGTATATAACACTTGATAATGTTAATACATTACTAGGTAACTGGTTTATGCATTTACTATACTATATTTTTATCATTATTTAAGAATGTACACCGGCCGGGTGAGGTGGCTCACGCCTGTAATCCCAGCACATTGGGAGGCCAAGTCAGGCGGATCACGAGGTCAGATCGAGACCATCCTGGCTAACACGGTGAAACTCCATCTCTACTAAATATACAAAAATTAGCTGGACATGGTGGCGGGCGCCTCTAGTCCCAGCTACTCAGGAGGCTGAGGCAGGAGAATGGCGTGAACCCGGGAGGCAGAGCTTGCAGTAAGCCAAGATCGTGCCACTGCACTCCAGCCTGGGTGACAGAGCAAGACTGTATCAAAAAAAAAAAAAAAGCACACCTACTTATTTTAAAAAATAGTTTATTGTAAAACAGCCTCAGGCAGGTCCTTCAGGAGTTATTTCAAAATAAGGCATTGTTATCACGGGAGGTGACAGGTCCATGTTTGTTATTGCCCTTGAAGACCTTCTAGTGGAACAAGATGTGGAGGTGCAAGACAGTGATATTGGTGATTCTGACCCTGTATGGGCCTAGGCTACTGTGTGCATTCTTATCTTCATTTTTAACTGCAAAGGTTTTAAAAGTAAAAAAAAAAATAATAGAAAAAAGCTTATAGAAAAGGATATAAAGAAAGAAAATATTTGTGTACAGCTGTACATGTGTTTGTGTTTTCAGCTAAGTGTTATTATAAGAGTCTAAAAGTTTAAAAATTTATAAAGTAAAAAAGTTACAGAAGCTAAAGTTAATTTATTATTAAAAGAAAAAACATTTTTATAAATTCAGTGTAGCCTAATTGTACAATGCTTATAAAGTCTACAGTAGTGTACAGTAATGTCCTAGGCCTTCGTATTCACTCAGCACTCATTCATTGACTCACTCAGAGTAATTTCCAGCCCTGCAAGCTCCATTTATGGCAACTGCCTATAAACATGTACTGTTTTTAATCTTTTATTCTCTATTTTACTGTACTTTTTCTATGTTTAGATACACAAATACAAGCATTGTGTTACAGAGGCCTACAGTATTAACTAGTCACATGCTGTCCAAGTTTGTAGCGTGTGAACAGTAGGCTATCCCATATAACCTAGGTGTGCGGTAGTCTATACCACCTAGGCTTTGTGTAAGTGCATTCTGTGATGTTTGCATGATGACAAAATTGCCTGACGTATTTCTCAGAACGTATCCCCATTGTTAAGCAACACGTGACTGTACTATAATATGATGTCAAGTTACCATGTTGTTTGGGACATATGACAAGAACAGAGCTCAAGAAACTTTTGTATACATGGGACAATCTTGTGAGTTGAAATAATATTTCTCTCACCTTCAAGGGTGTGATTTATTCTTTTTGGGTATAAATTATGCAAGCAAAGCTAGAGTATTCTTACAATAAAATAATTTTAAAAGACAGCACCGAAACATTTTTCCAAATTAAAGGAAGCTTGAGTTATTTTTTTCTGATTTTTGAAATGGAAGAACCAGTCCACGGGGGGAAGTGATCAGAGTAAACTAAAATTTAGTGCTATGTCCCTCTAATCACAAAGTGGTGTCATATAGGGGTCACAGTGGACCATGATCTGCTTTTATAGATAAATGATGTTCTGTGGGAGACGTTCTCCAATTCATAAGCTAGAGAACAGATTTAAATTTACAAAACCAAATTGGGATAACCAGTACTGTAAACACTGTCATTATAACCATGGAGCACTAGATTGATGTGAGATGGATTGACATTCAGCAGGGGTAAGGACAGGATAGGATATATAGGAGGAAACCAAACCACAAAAAAATTAAATGGGAAATTTTGAAAGGGGCAGCATTCTTACCTTATGTTTCTATAGCACCCTTTCACTTTTCTTTTACACTTATCCACATGGAAAGGTTGTTATAAAGGGAGCATGAAAATTGAAGATTAAAAAGTAAAAATGACTTCACTTGACTAGCCTAAAGAAAAAAAAAAAGTAAAAATGGACCTCCGCATTAATGGTAAGAATTCTAAGATAATTCCTTTTTTTTTTTTCCTGACAGTGTCTTACTCTGTCACCCAGGCTAGAGTACAGTGGCACGATCAGGACTTACTGCAGCCTCCACCCCCCAGGCTCAGGTAATCCTTCCACCTCAGCCTCCTTAGTAGCTAGGACTATAGGCATGCACCACCATGCTTGTATTTTTTTTTAGAGATGAGGTTTCCCCATGTTGCCCAGGCTGGTCTCAAACTCCTGGGCTCAAGCAATCCATCCCCCTGAGCTTCCCAAAGTGCTGGGATTACAGGCATGAGTTACCGCACCTGGCCCAGGATAATTCTTTTATTATAAGTGTTCTTGTTCCTTTATTCACTATTCTGGTTAATGGCACCACCATTTACCCAGTGGCCCTAGGCAGAAAAATATTGAATCTAGAAATTATCCTAGATTCATTTTTCTTCCTTACTGCCTGCATTAAATTTTTCAGTCTCTGGGTCCAGGTGGTCAAACTGATACCTTTAATTAGCCAACATTTATTGAGTGCCTAGTAGAGTGGTATAAATAAAAATTGCCACCCTTGTAGAGCTTGCATTTTCTTAAATATCAATCATATTTCTCTGATTCTAAGATAAGATTTCTGAGATGGAATGCATTTTACAATAAAGTTTAAAAAATACTACACTAAAACTTAGCAAGTTGTGATGCAGTTGTCATTGCCTATACATGCACGGACTTAGTGGAGCTCACAGAAAGTACCTGTTAAACTGTCACTTCAGTTCATTTATTTGCATTTGGAAGCCTCATATAAAATGAAATTTTAACTGAAATTTGGATCCCTGATTGTTATTTAAAATGTTAAGAAATAGCCAGCAAACACATAAAAAGATGTTCAGCGTCATTAAAACCATAATGAGATACCACTTTACACCTACTAGCATGGCTATGATTTAAAAAAAAAGTATTGGTGAGGAGGTTTTTTAAAAAAAAAAACCGTTGGAGAAAATGGAACCCTCCTGTTTTGCTTTCAGTCCTTGGCATATATACCCAAAGGAATAGAAAACAAGTATTCAAGTACAAGTACACACATGTTCATAGAGGCATTATTCATAAATGGCCAAAAGGTAGAAACAGCCCAGATGTCCATGAATGGATGAATGCATAAACAAATTGTTTTATATAATGCAGTGGAATATTATTCAGCCATGAAAAGAAATGAATTCTGATATATGCTACAACATGGATGAACCTCCAAAACATAAGTGAAAGAAGCCAGACACAAAAGGTCACATATTATATTATTTCATTTATGAGATATCCAGAATAGATAAATCTATAGTGTCAAGGCAAATTGGTGGTTGCCAGGGGTTAGGGAGCAGGGGTGAATGGGGAAAAACTGCTTAATGAATAAGGGGGAATAATGGAAGTGTTTTGGAACTTGATAGAGGTCATGATTGCACAAAAATGTGAACCTACTAAATGCCACTGATTGTTCACTTTAAAATGGTTAGTTTTGTTTTATAAATTTTATCTCAATAAAGTATTTTTCAAATATTCCACTGTGCTACAGAATTGAAATGAAGTTATTGTATGCCCTAAAGTTTACCTGTCATATACTGTTCATTACAAGTAAAAACAGAATAGTCAAATCTCTTTATACAAAACCTAGAATTTCAGAGTTCAGAGAGATTGTTATGACCTTTTCAAGTGTCATCAAGGAATGTCATTTAGGCACCTGCCGTCTGTTTATCAAAAGCTCGACTTCCAACAGAAGCTGTATGACTTTTCATGATACATAATTGGGTATAACAGGAGTGTCCACATTCCTTTTCCCCTCAGCAGCTCAAACTACATCAATATGCCACAATCAGGAATCATAAGTGATGTCATGCTTTGCAGCTAAGTCATAGAGAACTGGTGGCAGAGTCACAACTTGGCTCAGGATCAAGATCCAGAGCAGTGACTAAGGACTTCATGAAGCAGAATCTCCTGCTCTTACTATGGAGGAGGGCCTGGGTCGGCCTCTAGCTGAGAAGGTGCTACACTGGGTCCTCTGTTCTAACTACTGCACTGCCACCAGTATGATCCTACTTGTAGGAATACTTTCCCACTGTCACCTGCCAAGTCTCAAACAAGTCTCAGAACTCAGTGAGACTCATAGGCACAGTGAGCCTATGTCTCCACACTTTACAGGCCCAGAACCTGATTTCCCCACACCACTCCATCTCTTCTTTGTCCATTGTGGCTGGACAAAGTTGTCTGCCTACTTCCTCTGGCCAGGTACCCTGAGTGCCTTGTAGCACTCAAGCATGATTTACATCCCTCATTCAAGATAATTTTTCTTCTATTTCCCTTGTTGGAGAGGAAAAAGAAATAGACATGTGTTTAATATCCAGCACAGAGTATCTCTATACATTTAAAAAATCAAAGCTTTGAATAACCAAATGCAGAACAAACCTCAATATTCCGTGATACCTCTTGAGATTGTAATATCAATCCTAAAGTATCAAAGAGGTCAAGTTCACCAGCATGGATTTTGAAAAGTAAGGTCCTTATGATGCTCTGCGCTTAACTGTCAGTGAACAAAAGTGATGGAGAAGATATTTACATAATAGCTTTGGTTTGTTCATAAAATTATATGCCAATTTAGTTTTCAAGGTTTGACTCTTTGCTGGGCTTGAATAGTGGCTATTTTCTTTGGTATTGTTTTTAACCTGAATCCCTTAAGGCAAGGCATGTACTCTCCAGTTAGGCTATAGAGACCATGGGCCTCCTTTCCTCTTTTTTAGGTCCATTTACACATTTATGTTTCCTACCTATCCCCTGTAGTCATTTGAGTTTATAATTACTAACATAGACTCAAGTTTTAAAATTACATGTAGTTGTATAGATAACTCACAGTAAGACCAAATCCTTAAATAATGCATACTAAATTCTGGGCACTGTTTAACATGTTTAATCCATAGTAACTAATGGAAACCTCACAACCCCATCAGGTAGTGTGGCCCTCATGGAGGTGCACCATTCAGATCTGCCTTTAAGAGGAAGCTTATGTTTGTTTGCAAGGAGTGCAGTTAGATGACAGTCTCCAGTTGCAGTGCCTGTAGGCCATGCTTTTGCTGGGCGGTCCTAGCCAATGACTGAACACTCTGGGAGTACTAAGGCCTGGCCATTTCTGCCCAGTGTGGGAACTCCCCTAATGGGTAATCTTTATTTCAGAGCTCTCCATTAGGTTGGCAGGCCTTTGTCTGATTTGCCTCATAGTCTGAGACTCTGTCTCCAATTCTACTTTCTTCACCCTCCTCGCCCCAAAATTTTCACAGCAAACTAATAAATCTCTTGCACTTCTGTCTGTCTCATTGTCTGTTTCTGGGTAGACCCAACTAATACGGATAAGTATTATTATTATCCTCCTGTCACAGATGAAGAAACTGAGGCACAGAGAAATGGCTCAAGGTGTCACAGCCAAGTGAGTTTCAGTGTTCTTCATCATGTTTTTAACCATTATGGTATGTTGCCTTCCCTTTCTGAAGTTCATGTTCATCCAGTTAAGTATCCTTTGTATCCCAGAAACTTGGCTGGATGCTAGAAGTATATAGATGAATAACATAGCCTTTGATCTCAAGGAGTCCACAATCTTGTGGAGAAAACAAGGAGAATAAGCAGATAGCATCGGTCTTTGCTCTAAATGCAATGATGAGATATGTGCAGGGTGCCCTGAGAGCCCAGAGGAGGGACCTAATTTGTGTCATTTCTCACTTCTTCTACCTCTGAATGGACTACTCTTCCTCCTCTTGTTCCTGTAGCCATGCCATCATATTTATCTGGGATGCCTGTTATGTCTTTGGACCACCCCAAATTGAGTTGGGCATGACTATTCTGTATTCTTACAGGAACCCTCTGCACTTACCATACCACACCCACCTTAATTGATATTTCCCAGCCTGTGTCCTGCTTGTCTGTGTGCTCAGTGCTACTTCATGCCTGCCTTGGGCCCTGGCCCCTTGAGGAGCTTAGGAAGTGTTTGTTGAATCAATGAATGAGGAGAATCATTTGTTTGCTTGGCCTGTAAGATGTGAATAGAAAAGAGATTTGAAATAGAATACACAGGAGGGAAAAGGTGGGGGCAGATGAATTCTACCATTCTCTTGAGAGTATCTCACCTTATTTCTCACTGTCATCAGCAGGTGTGGATTTGGGATGTTTCCATTCCCCTTTAAATTTTTGGTTCAAACATGGACACATGCTTTCTATCTTGCTTCCCGATGATACAAATATGTTAAGCTGAGTTTTTATCCATTAATCCATCCATCCATTCACCCATCCATACTTGTTTGTTAAGTCTACCAACCCATATTTATCTAGTACTCTCATGTGTCAGGCCCAGTGCCAGGTTCTGTTCACACAGTGGTGAACAAAAAGCACAGTCTCTGTCCTCAAGAAGGTTTCATTCTGGTAGGATAATTGGATTCTAAACAAATGTAACCTGAATGTCCTCTAGACCCCTCCAGTTGGATCCTAGGAGAGGTCACTTTAAATATTTCCAGTGGATATATAGTCTTCCACCTACAAAATGGCACACTGTCAGCCTTGCTCCTTTCTTGTATCTCTCTGGACATCCTCGAGGCCATTTTTTCCATATGAAATAATGCATATTATTAATAGATTCTTGGTAATTGAGTAAACGCTTCATACATGGTGAATATTATTTTTATTATTAATGATATTTATATAATGTGTTCTGCTACTTACAGTTTTGCCTTTCTTTTCTTCCGATGACTCTTCTCACCATATTTCCTGGTCATTGTCTACTGTTGTTTTGTTTGTTGCTTTAAAGCTGCCTGTACCTTTCTCCTATGCTACTGCCACTGTAGGAAACACGTACATGTTATATTACCTGATGGTTTTTTAGCTTCCTCTATGGCCACTGTCTCCAGATCTCTGTTCCTATATCAGCATTTGCACTCATCTATTTTGATAAGCTTATCTCTCTGGCTAACCACCCTCTTTCTGTAAGACCTCTTCGAGCGTTTCCACCATCACTTGGGGACTTTTGCCATTTTTCCTGCTTCCAGATCTCAGGTGCTCCTCTCTTCCCAGTTCTTGGTGAAGCATTTTCTTCTTGTCTGGACTGCCTTCATGGTAGTCCCATAGCATTGTGACATGCGACCCTAGTAACAGAATTATTTCATTCTTTATCACACTGCCTTCCTTTTCTCAGACTGTTAAATGTGGCTTTCAGTTAGAACCTCTTACTGGACCTGGAACCACCAATCTCATCTAGCTTCAGGCCCACTGTATCAGCCTCTTTCCTCATGTATGGTCTTTTCCCACCCAGGGATTCCTGTTTTCCCTATTTTCAACTGGAAGTGACATTTAAACTAAGGAATAAAGGAAAATTAGGAATTATCTAGGGGAAGAGGGAAGGCAGGATTGAGTATGGTACATAGAACAAATGAGGAATCCCAGAGAAGGAAAAGCTTGTGCCAAGTCCCAGAGGCCAGGAGCAGCATGGGTGTGTAATAGAGAAAGGTGTGCTGAGAAACTGCAGTCATTACAATGTGTCTGGTGTGTCATAGAGTGCAAGGGCATAGGTGGCAAGAGGTACCCCTGGGAAGTTAGGTTGTGTTAGATCAAGGTGGGTCTTTCCTGGGTATTGAGAACAGAAAGAAAATAATCTGGAAGTGAAACTGGTTGAATTTTCTCAAGTGCAGGTGTTTTATTCTTACCGATTTTTTCCCTGGCCCCTAAGGGCTAGAACACCACCTGCTGACATTCTGTATGTATGATGCATGGCTTGCATTGCTTCTTGGCCCTTTTCTCTATCTTTTTTTCTACTCCCTGGACTAGACTAATCTTACTATTCATTTTCTAGATCTATTGATTGGCATGACGTGGTAGTTGTTTCAAGTTTCCAGGATCCAGCTATCAGTCCTGCCAACTTCTGGATATGTTGGAACTCTCAGATGAATCTTTTTTGTCTACATACTAGGAATTGGCCTTGTCCAAAGTCACCAGATTTAAATAGTCACCACATGAATATCTTGAAGATACAGTCACCATGACAACCCAAAACAAGAATCATACACCTATGGCAGTGACAGGCTGTGTTCCCACAGAGAATTTCCCATCCTATTATCCCTCCCATGTGAAGGCTTGCTGGATAGATCTAACATACTTTTCTCTCACTCCACTTTGAACTCTGGAATCTGACTGTTTATTCCATTCATTTGACAATTAGTAATACCCTCTTACTTTTCATCTCTTACTGTTCCTTTAGCCTTTTGTATATTTCTGTCTTGCATCCCCAAGTGGTGTTGAGTTCCATGAGGGCAGGGAATATGGGTTTAACTGCTTTGAAGCCTCCTCAAGGGCCAGTCTTGTGCCTAGAGACATAGGGGATATTTGGTATATGTTCAGTAAGTGGAACTGTCGGCTGGCAATTAAGCCTTAAGGAAGGCATGGAGAACCTGGAGACCATTCAGAAGAGTGGCCAGGCAACATGGGTGTTGGCTGTGGAGTTACTAGACTTGGAGTTACAGCCCAACCAGTCTGCTCACCCCCCACCTTTTCCTCTCACCTCTATAAAACAAAGGTGATGGTGGAAACTTAATGCTTATTGTAAGGATCAAATGAAATAACATATCAACAAATGAAGTCAGTTTTTGCTGTTATTTATAGAAATGGCCTTTTGAGTTAGAACAATCAGAAGTGAAGGAAAAGGTTAGAACAGATTATACCGGAGAAGACTGGGAAAAGTTCCTATTTGTTGGATTAAGGAAAAGATGCTCTTTCTTAGATTAAGTGCTGCTCTGAGGTTGGACTGCCAGATTTGAATTTCGGTCCCATTGTTTGCTAGCTGTGCAACACTGGAGCAAGTTAACTTAACCAATGTGCACCTTGATTTTATTATAATCTATAAAATGGGAATAATAATATTTACTGCATAAATTTATTGTGAGAAACAAATGAAATAATCAAATAATCCCTGCAAAGTGCTCATTAGCAGAATGCCAGACACATAGTATGTCTCGGGGTGGACTGGTTTATTTATTGTTACTTGTATCAGTTACCTATTGCTGTATAATTAACCACCTCACATGCAATGGTTTGAAACAGTGAATGTTTATTATTGCTCATGAGTCTACAAGTCAGTTCTTTTTATCTCAGTTGGTCTTATTCTTATGTTTTAGTCAGCTCTTGGGCAAGAAGGTAGCTCTGCTGATCATGACCAGGTTCTTTCACATGTGTCGGGGTTGAGGGCTATAGGCTATCTAAGGATGGCCTTGGCTGGGCTCACTGGACTATCTTCCATGTGATCTCTTTTCCTCTAGAAGGAGAACCAGGGCTTGTTCATATGACAGCTGGGCAGGGTACCAAGAGAGAGCGAAAGTAAGGAAGAAGTGACACGGTGGAATTTCTACTGCATCCTATTGGCCAAAGCAGATGACAAGACCAGCCCAGATACAGGAGTGGGGAAAGAGATTACATCTCTTTTAGGAAGATCTGCAAAGTCACATTGCAAAGGGCATAGTTATAGGTAAAGATTGTGCTAGTTTTGCAGTTGATCTACCCTACCACCCTTACATTCCTTCTAGAAATAAGAGAAACAAATCGTTGTATCATGTTTTACAGATTACAAAGACCTTTTGCCTGTAACCACTGAGTCTTGCAATGAGACTGTGAGTTAAGGATGTTTTAGCCTTCATAACATGCTAGATACTATCTTAGGCACATACTTCTTTTGAAACCTTTTTCTTGTCCTTCCAGCACACATTGATCGCTAACATTTGAATAGTAAGTTTTCCTACTAATCCTACTGCTTTCCTGATTCTTCAAGGCTTATGTTATTTTCTTTCATCATTTCATGTTCTACCCATATGCAGAGAAATTGATACTCCAGCCTAAATCCCCCAGAGCTTTGTTTTTCCATGTCTAACTGCTGTTGGCCAACTCTTCATACTTGTCACATGGCTGCCTCAAACTCAGCACGTCCAGATGCATAACCAGACATCTTATTATTTTAAAATATAATTAGACTCATAATTTGCAGAGTAAAAAATACTATGAAGATAAAAAATACATGTAGTAATTGTTTGACTCTTTAAGTCCTGTCTGTATGATTTTTCACCCTCTAAAGTTTTGGATACACTGAAAATGGCTTTCTATAATTAATATTCTTAGGAAAATACTCTCTACACAAAAGCATTTTTTACTCAGCCTTAATCTTAGGTCAGTAGGTAGGGTCCTGAATGCAGATGCCAAAGAGCTTAGGAAATTTTCAGAGTTTTTATTTAGGGTTTCAGTGGTGCTTCTAAATATAGCATGTCCCATTTTTCCTTTTCCCTCAAACTGTCTCATTGATGTAACATGAAACCAAATAGAACAGTGCCGAACAGCTTGAAAGAGTGAATATCATGTGTTGAAAAGGAATATCACAGTATCACCTGGTAAAAATAGCTTGTACCCACAGCAAGCAGAGATTGGTGCACTCTGGGAGAGTGCATGTTTTTTAAAGGTTTTATTCACTTTCCCCTCCCCAAGAAATTGACAGGTGTTTGCAAAAGCCCTATCAAGTAAGAGGTTGATGGATTGTAGGAGGTGGGAGGAAAGAACCTTTAAGCTTAGTGGCCAAGTAATTCTTAAAAGGAAGCAACAGAAATGTGGTTAAAATGGTCCTTTACTTTTCCTTGTCACCAATCAAATATGTTCGTATTCTTGAGGATTGAGGTAGTGATTTGACAAAGTTAAGATTAAGAAGCCTGCAGAGGAACAAGTAGGGAACCATATCATGTATTTATTCCATTTAACAGGCATTAACCAGGAAACACTCTACCTCAAGTGTCCAGAAGATACAAAGGTGAAATAGACATGGATCCTCAAGGAGTTTCCAGCCATGTAGGGAAGATATATGTATGTATATAAATATGCATATAAATACTACCAAGTTGAAAGGGACAGATGTAGTCAGAAAGATATAGGTAAACCGATACAGGGTTTGTATGTTCTGTCATTTATTTATTCTGACAAAAATTGATTGAGTACCTATTGTATCCAGGCACTGTGATAGGTGCTGGGGACAAAGTTTACATTCTAGCAGTGCATGTAAATAACAAGCTTATTGTATTAGTCCATTCTCATGCTGCCATAAAGGAGTGCCTGAGACTGGGTAATTTATAAAGAAAGAGGTTTAATTGACTCACAGTTCCACATGGCTGTGGAAGCCTCAGGAAACTTACATTCGTGTCAGAAGGCGAAGCACACATGTCCTTCTTCACATGATGGCAGGAAGAAGTGCCAAGCAAAAGGTGGAAAAGCCCCTTATAAAACCATCAAATCTCCTGAGAACTCACTCGCTATCACAAGAACAGCAGCATGGAGGTAACTGCCGCCATGATTCAGTTACCTCCCACCGGGTCTCTCCCACAACACGTGGGGATTATGGGAACTATAATTCAAGATGAGATTTTGGTGGGGACATAGCCAAACCAGCCAAACCATATCACTTATAAACCACTAAACAGACAAAATAATGCAGTTTCAGATCATCATTAAGTGCTGTAAGGAAAATAAAGCAGGTTAAGGGGGATAGGTTAGGGGAACTTGTTTTTCAGTAGGTGGTCAGGGATATGTAGAGATAGGGGTGGCAAATTGAAGATCTTCCTGAAATCTAAGACCATGCATAACTAGACATGGGAGAATAAGGATGTCTTCATGCAAGAGCAGTCCACTTTGGTATGGCGGTGGGTGAGAGGGGGTAACAAAGCTCAGAAATGTAGTGAATCTCCATATTCTAGTATTTTGAAGGATTTTCAAGAGGTAGAAGACAGGACCAAGCTGGGACCAATGGCTGGAGGTTTCAAAAGTGAAAATCTATGCTGTCTAGTAGTAGAGTGTAGAAGGGCTTCTGGCACACTGTTGTTAAAGCCTGGTCAACTGCTTATGAACTCCACAGGGGCACAGGAGTGGTGCCTTTGTCATTGTCAAATCCTTGTCATCTGCCTCAGTGTCTGGCATGTAGTAGATGATCAAGGGTTGATTTTTGAACTGCATTTCTGACCGTCACATGTCTGGTTGTGTGAAATCTGTGGATATTCTAGGATATAGTAGGTGATTAAGAACTGATTTTTGAATTGCATTTCTGAACATCATGACTGGTTGAGTGAAATATACGGATAAGTTAAGATGGCTATGGATTTAAATGGAAGTCTGCAGATAACATTTTCCAAAAAGAATGATCTATTCTGGTTTCAGCATCCCTGGATGAAATGAATTAATAACAACGCTTTACTTAATAGACAGTTTCTCTTTCTAGGATCACAGAGTGGTTTTATTGACCATAGAGCTGTACCTGATTTAAACAGGGTATGGTAACTGAATTTCATTTATTCCACTTATTCACAAAACATTTATTTATTTTAGAGAGAATAAGTATTTTACCCAGGATTTCACAGGTAGTAATCACTGAGGCCTTGTGGCTCTAAGTCCATGCTCTTTCTACTACATCCTGCTGTCTTACATGAAACAGATTTTATTTCATTTTATGCATTTCTGTTTATGTATCTCTATGTCATATTTTAATTTCTGTAACAGCAGCATCATTTACCAGCTAAGAGGACTGCCTGCTTTGGATGGAGACCTAGCCACTGTGGTGACAAGGACACCTCATTCTCTGTGAGGTCTTCTGCTTAATGAAGCCCTTCTGGACCTCTCTGGCCTCTATTATTGTCTCCTGTCTCTGATTACCTATAGCATTTGTATACTGCTCCACACCTCACACTTAGCTTATTTTCTTGTTAATTCTGGTTGAGTCTTGTCTCCCTAGATGTAGAAAATCCAAAGGCTGTTTTTTAAACCAGAAGCTCCATTGTCCAACACTAGACATGGGTGCCTGTGATCTATTTGTTTGATTTAGAATCATTCATGGCTGAAAGGAAAGTTGAACTCTGGCCCAGAGAAGTTGTTCAATAAATATTTTTTGGATGCATAGTCTTGGTTCCCCTACAACCTTGCAATTTATTCTTGGCATCATTGTTTTCCGGTGTTCCTCTTAGTGATGTTGTTAACCTCACCATCCTTGAATCAACGTCTGGGGTTTATCTCTGTAATAATAATAGCAGCTTATTTTTTAGCATTATTACTGCATATAAAGCATCATACTAAGTACTTTATACAAATTCTCTTATTAAGCCCTTATCATCACTCTCTGAACCTAGACAGCCTGACCCCAGAACCCACACTCCTCACCTGGGTACTATATTTCCTTTGTAGACCCTTCTTGTGCTTACCAACTCACAAGGGTTCAGCCCTTATGAATTTCTGGTGAAGGTGTGTTGAAGATATTACCTAAGTATTGTAAACATTTCTAAGTCCTTTCTATTTTAGTGTCAAGGCTGTTTTTAATATCTTCTATAAAATTCTGTGGTTTCTTTTTCCTCTTAGGTAGATTTGCTAAGTATAGAAGTGTGCAGGGAATAGCTAGACTAGCATAGAATTGATATATTTGCCACTCCTGGATTTGCCAGGCAACAGGATTCCTTGTTTTCCTGAGCTTTCTTGACACTGTTAATGGTGTTGGACATAGAAGGATAATGTGGGATGTAAATAATGAACACTGGAATGAAGTGGATAGCAGTTCTTGGGACAGTGTTTCTAGTTTTTAGGAAATAGAATAAAACTTCAAAGGCCAGAGAGGGCTGAAGACTGCATTTATTTTCCTGAATCCTTATTTGGATTCCCACTCATTTATTACTATTTGACAGTGACTTATTGGGGATAGGGAGAATGGGGTCCTCTATGGGACTCCCTGCCTCATCATTTTCATTTTCCTTTTAACTACCCTGTGCTTTCATTTGATAGCAAGACTAAAGAACATGAAAATGCCACCGTGGCTGGGCGCAGTGGCTCATGCCTGTAATCCCAGCACTTTGGGAGGCCAAGGCGGGCGGATCATGAGGTCAGGAGTTCGAGACCAGCCTGACCAACATGGTGAAACACCGTCTCTACTAAAAATACAAAAAATTAGCTGGGCATGGTGACAGGCACCTGTAATCCCACCTACTTAAAGGGTGAGCCAGGAGAATCGCTTGAACCCAGGAGGCGGAGGTTGCAGTGAGCAGAGATCGTGCCACTGCACTCCAGCCTGGGTGACAGAGTGAGACTCCATCTCAAAAAAAAAAAAAAAAAAAAGCCACTACTAAACGGTGACGTTTCAGAAGGGCAGATAAAGTTACATAATATTTTTAGGCTTCAACTTTTTGCTTTGGAAATACCACATACTCCATAGGACTGTTGGTGGAATAAATAAGATCCAAATTCCTAACTGTGGCTTGCAACATCCAGTATTATCTGATCTCAACCTGCCTCTCAGACACTCAGATCTTGTTGACGCTTGCTCACCCCACTTCAGTCTCACTGGCCCTCTTGCTCTTGTTCCAGGATGTCCAACTGGCTCCTTAGCGCCATCCTGCTATACCTGCACCTCCAGACCCTCACACGGCTTCCTCCTTCACTTGGCTCAGGCTTCTGCTCTCAAGGACCCCCCCTCAGAACAGTCCTTCTCTCATCTGCAGTCCAGAAGAGCTCTCCCTCCCTCCATCATTCTGCCTATCCACCTTATCCTGCCTTGTTTTCCTTATACTACTTATTGCTATCTAAAACTATTTTAATTTTTTATTACTTGTTTGTGCTACCTTCATTTGAATGTAAACTCTATGAGGGCAAGGATTTTGTCTATCTAGTTTCCTTGTCTCCTCATTACGCCATGGACATAAATGTGCCTGGCACTATTCATTCCACAAGGAATGTTTAGACTTCCTAATTTCAGCTTTGTAACAACTTTTTTTCTTGAGTCGTGCATCTTTTATTTTTGCAAATGTAGCCAATAAAACTTAATTTGACAATTTGACTAGCCTCAGAGTCAAATTGAAGTTCATCGTGAATGCAGCTTCCTACTGGACCACATAGCCACATACACAAAAGATGCCTTTTGTGTAGGAAACATTAGGGGCAGGCCTATCACTAGCAGGTGATTTTGAGAGAAGCAGCTAAGGTAAGATGGAAAGAATTGAATATGAGTAAATCAAGAGAACACCAAGAGCTGTATCTGAACATGACGGAAACTGTAACCAAACTGGATGGGCAAGGGGTACCAGAAGCCCTATACTTATAGGGTGACTTTGATCAAGTCCTTTTACCTCCTCTGCATTTCAGTTTCCTTGGGTGTAAAATGAGGCCCATAGGTGGAGAAATGGGAGGAGGAGAGGCTCCCTACCACATAAGGGTGTTGAAAAACTGTTGAGAGAACATACGTGATAGCAGTCTATATTGAGTAGCACTCACATAAATTGACATAAATGCATATAAAGTGCTTGGCATCCAGTAAGTAGTCAACAAATAGTACCTATTACTATTAATATTAACATTATTAAATCACTTGGAAATGATTTGAAGCACTTGTAAAGATTTGGATCTCTTACTAGTGTTAATGATTATTTTCTTTGAATTTAAGCAAAATTTCGAATTGTCTTCTGTTCCTGTTTGCATTTATAAGCATGGGAGGGCCCATGAGTGCAGTGAGTAAGAATCTAGACTCTAGAGTCAAGACAGAAATGGGTTCAAGTCCTGAAGTAAATGAATAAATAAATAAGCAAATTGACTAAAGTTCAAACCTAATCTTACCCCAAGCAAGCTTTTATTTTCTTTCTCTATCAAATTCCTGTCCATCTTGTGAAGGAGACACTGTGGCCAAAAACTAGGAGCAAGAGAAACTGTAGGCTGGGTAATTCATGGATGCCTTTTGTACCTCTCTATGAACGTGAACCCCCTGTATTCCTTCTCCAGCAGAGACATGAGCATGCTTTGTCCACACAGCCCCGCTGGGCCTTCTCACTGTTTTATGAGACAGATACCAAGACACATCAGAGTGGCAGCCCCTCACTGCCATCATCACTGATGAATGACAAAAGTTTGGAAAAGAAAGAGCTATGGACAAATAACTCTCTCCCTCAAGCTCATCAAGTGGGGACACACATCCTCCTTGTCTCAGTGGTTTCCTGATGTACCTTGAAGGTCCTTCACATCTGTGGTCCTTGCAACTGCTGGGAATGACATAAATCATAATCCTGATATAAAGATTGATTGAATTCTTGCCAAATGCCAGACATTGTGCTTAATCCTTTATCTGAATCCTTCTACAGCACTAGGAGTTGTAGGTACTATTATTGTCCTCATTTTTACAGATGAGGAAACTGAAGTTTCAAGAGATGAAATAACTTTCCCAAGGTACCCCAGTTAAAAAGTAGAAGAGTTAGGCTGTCAATCAAAGTCATCTAACACCAGAGCTTGTCTGTTTTCTGCCAGACTGTAAACTCTTTGGGAGGAGAGACAACCCTCTCATTCACCTTTAGTCCCCATCTATACCCAGTTTCACCTCAGTTAGTAGTTATTAAGATGAAATTTTAAAATCTTTTCATGTGGATGATGCCCTAATGTACCATGAGTGTATCTTGAGTTGCAAGGTAGAAGCTGTCTTCACCTGTGCATTCTACTCAGCCTTTGCACAGACACACAGTCTCCCTCTAGCCTCATGGTACCAGGGAGTGGAGGGTACATCTCTACAGAGGAAGAAACATTCTGCCAGTCCTTCATAGTAAGTGGTGGAGTTAGGATATAAGCTGAGGGCCCTCAACTTCATATTTGGCCATTTTCCCTCTTCTGTATCTTTAAACTTTAAAGAAATGTGGAGATTTTGTGGATGGGGACAATGATATTTGACAAATTCTTTTTTATTATTTTAAAAAATCCTAATTGTGAGGCAAAAGTTATTTTAATCTCTAATACAGGCAAAAATGCTTCATTGATTTTTTTTTTAAAGCAAAGTAATAAAAACCCATGTCCTTTTTTTTGGAATAAATATTATCACTAGGTGTTGAGGTCTGCAAGATGCTAAATAAGGATTCGAGTAAAATGCTTTGCAAAACCATTTCAATGCAAAATCAATAATATGCATTAAAATTTATGAAAAATGAATTAAGAAAAAACAACCCCTTACCTTTTAGTGGATACACACACACATGCACAAACACACACGTACACACACATACACACGAAACATTAACATGAAATGTTAACTTTTGGTCGTCCACTGGAGTTTGAGGAATAATGGCTTCGTAAATGAGAAAAACACCAAGAGCTTTGTATGAATATAATGATTGCCATAACTAACTAGATACGCAAACTAAATGCACAAAGACTAAGTGCATAAGAAAGTAGAAGTCTAACACAGGATCCTAGAAATCCCAGAAACTCTAGACTTTCAGATAAGAATCCTATACCTTTAGTTGCCTTCTGGACATCTTCATTGGATCTTGTGAATGAGACTGTGAACTGGTATTTAGCTAAGCATGGCTGCAAAGCATGCTGAGTCATCAGCATGGTAGGTAAGGAGAGGTGAGTGGTGGCCAGCAGTCCAGAAAACATTATTTTGAAAGGTTTTACTGGTAAAGCTTCAAGATCAAGGGTCCTGGGGCCATAGATGTGCTGGCCTGGCTGGCTGGCTGGGCTGTGCTTCTCTAGTTTATGGCTAAAGCCCAGCCAAATTCCCTTAGAGTAACTTAAGATTTGTTTTATAGTTACTTATATTTTTTGTCTTATCTCTCTGTGAGTTCCTTGAGGAGCCAGTCTCTGACCGGTTCATTATTTTAACTGTTCTTGCTGTATTTACTTCAGAGTAGGCACTCTAGAAATCTCTCTTGAGTGAATTAAAGGATGATTTAAAGAGCATTCACAGGAAGATCGGGTACAAAAATGGTACTACAATAATAATGACAATAATTGCTACCATTTACTGAGCACCTTCTATATGCCAGGTGCATTGTTCGCATTTCTGATTCCTGTCTTTCAGGTCAGCAACCTTTTGTCAAATATTCACTGAGGCTGATTATATGTCCGGTTTTGTATTGGCTCCGGAGTTTTCAGGGAAGAAAGGGACCCAGTCTGTTGCCTTGAGGAATTCACAGAAAAGATAAAGTGCAATTACTATATGGTGAGCTCAGTGCTTCAACAGCTGTGGGAGTTTATGCACAGTGACCTAATAACCTTGGGAAAAGAGGGGTCATGGTGGAGCTAAATCTTAAAGATGAAATAGGAATTTGCCAGATGAAGACACTAGAGGAAGGCAGGGGACAGTGGATCAGTCTGGGTAGACAGAACAGTAAAGGCAGAGGTAGGAAGATGCTCAGCTATGTGATGGGTTTATGGAACATTAATTAAGAAAATATATAGAACACTGGCTGTGTGCTAGGCACTGGGGATGTAATTATGAGCAAATCCTCATAGAGCTTATAATCTAGTATTTATGTTATCTAGGGGATAGCATAAATAATAGTAAAAAGACAAACATTTATCTACAAATTATAGTAAGTTCTATGAAGGAAATGAATTAGATTCTAAGAGAATAGAACATAATTTGGATTTGGTCTTTGTGAGAAAGGTACATTTAAGCAGAGACATAATGGAATAACAAGGAAGTGAGTAGGATGAAGTGTGTGTCAGATGGGGAATTCCATGTGAGTGTAAAGGCCCTAGGGCAGCCATGTTTAAGACGATGTAAGGCCACCAGGGAGACAGCTAGAAAGAGATCACATCAATTCCTTTAGGAGACATTTTAGGGAATTTGCATTTTATCCGAGGTGCAAGGAAAAGGTATTGAAAGGTTTTAAGCAGGGGAGCAGCATGAGTTTTTTCCTTCATTTTTAAATGAAAATTTTGAAGCATACATCAAAGTTAAAGGAATTTTAAAGTGAGCTCCTGTATACCCATCACATAATACCATTTTCATTTTATTGGATACAAAGATGTGATGTATTTTTAAATGCTCTGTCCTCTTTGTAGAAGAGTACTGAAGAGGAAGGAGAAGGGGAAGTGGGAGCTCTAGCCCTAGTCTCATCATTTACTGTCATCGCAGGTAAAGAAGAGCTCCAGCATGGAGGCCTGGAAGGCTGCTCTGCACAGTGTGTGGCAGAGGCCAGACCACAGTGGGTTTTTTGTATCATGCCAGAGTACAGGTGGTCCTATACTTACAATGGTTCAACTTACTATTTTTTGACTTTACGATGGTGTGAAAGCAATACACATTCAGGAGCCCCTCGACTTAACAGTGGGGCAACATCTTGATGAACCCGTCATAAGTTGAAAATACATATTGTCAGCTGAAATTGCTTTTTGACTTATGATATAGATATAGATAGAGAGAGAGAGACAGAGAGACAGAGAGAGAGAGAGTCTCACTCTGTCACCCAGGCTGGAGTGAAGTGGCATGATCTCGGCTCGCTGCAACCTCCACCTCCCGGGTTCAAGCGATTCTCATGCCTCAGCCTCCTGAGTAGCTGGGATTACAGGCATGCACCACCACACCCAGCTATTTTTTTTGCATTTTAGTAGAGATGGGGTTTCGCCATGTTGGCCAGGCTGGCCTCAAACTCCTGGCCTCAAGCGATTGTCCCACCTTGGCCTCCCAAAGTGCTGGGATTACAGGCATGAGCCACCGCACCAGGCCAACTTATGGTATTTTCAATTGAGATGTACCCCGATCATAAATCAAGGAGCAGCTGTATATGTAGGCCATGGGGAGATTGTAGAGGATTTCAGTTGAGAGTAAGGTAACCTCTTATCAGTGGTTTTACTTTCCACAGTTTCAGTGACCCTTGGTACTTGACCTTGATCCCAACCTTCGTCAAAAATGCTACATACAGTAAGATATTTTGAGAGAGAGAAAGAGATCACGCTTACATAACTTTTATTACAATATACTGTTATAGTTGTTCTATTTTATTATTAGTTATTATTGTTGATCTCTTACTGTGCTTACTTCATAAATTAAATGTTATCATAGGTATGTATGTATGTATGTATACAAAAACACCATAGTATATATTGTGTTAGGTACTATCTCAGTTTCAGGCATCCACTGAAGGTGTTGGAACATATACCCAGTGGAGAAGAGGGAACTACTGTAGTGTGAGCAGGCTTGCATATTCCAAGGGTCCTGGAGGCAAAAATGTGTAAGGAAATGTCTGACATGAGATAGACCTGGGCCTGGGAAGTGAGTCTGGAGCCTTTAGTCCTATGCAAGAAAGAGGATAAGCTGTGTTCTGTAAGGCCAGGGAGAATGGGAAGAAAGAGAGAGGGGGAGGGGAAATATTTGACGATTATTTAGGGGTATAATGCCTGAACCATAATAGTTGCTTGATAAGCATTTATTGAGTGAATTAAAGTACAATCAGCAGGACTTAGAAAGTCCTGGTGATGAAAGACAAGGAGATGAGTTGTAACCTGTGCAAGTCACTCAACTTCTCTAAGCCTCAGCTCTTCATCTGTGAGAGGGGAAAGCTAAGGGTACTTCCTATTATATTTGTCAAAAATCTCCAGAGAAACAAAGTAAATGGGATGTTTCTCTCTCTCTCTCTCTCTCTCTCATACATATATGTTAGATACATGACCCTATACTGCACAGCTTATCCTCTTTCCTAAAGAAGACTAAAGCCTCCAGATTCACCTCCCAGACCCAGTTCTATCCCATGTTAGATACATGTATATAAGTAGATACATGTGTATATGTATTAGGTGTAGGGGAGACATATAGGGAATTGGCTCACATGATTGCAGAGGGTCACAAATCCCAAAATCTGTAGTCAGCAAGATGGAGACCCAAGACAATTGATGGTATAGTTTTAGTACAGATGCTGGCAGGCTTAAGCCTGGAAAGAGCCAATGTTTCAGTCTGTGTTCAATAGCAGGAAAGAATTGAAGTCTCACCTTAAGACAGTCAGGCAGGAGGAGTTCCCTCTTACTTGAGGGAGGGTTGGCCATTTTGTTCTATTCAGGCCTTCAACTGATTGGATGAGGCCCACCCAAATTAGGGAGGGCAAATGACTTTTTTCCGTCTAGGGAGGGCAAATGACTTTATTCAGTCTACTGAGCCAAATGTTAATCTCATTTAAAACACCTCACAGACATATCTAAATAATATTTGACCAAATATCTGGTCACCCTGTGACCCAGTCAAGTTGATACATAAATTAACTATCATACTTACCCTGCTTGCTGTGAAATGCTGTTAAGTTTTAAAATACTGTACACATGAAAGGAAGTATCACTATTGATTCAAAGAGAAAAGGTTACTTTAATGATAATAGCTTAATTTTATCCAGTGCTTCCCATATCCCAATTATTATTTGGTCTTACTAGCATTATCTCATTTAATTCTCTCAATAACTTTATCCCTCTGTTTACCCGTTAGAGAGTCCATGTCTACAATTGTTGCTGCACACAGATTCCCTGCATTAAGACATGGTGAAGAGGAGCACAGTCTCTGGAGCCAGACTTCCATGGTTTCAATCCCAGCTCTGTCACTAGCCTACATGACCTTGGGAGCAAGTTACTAACTTCTCTGTCCCTGTTTCCTCTTCTCTGAAATGGGATAATTGCAAAGTGCTTAGGACAGAGCCTGGCATTTAGTATACAAATATATACCTTGTGTGTGTGTGTGTGTGTGTGTGTGTGTGTGTGTGTATATAGTATTTGTGTGTTTATATATCTATGTGAATATATTGCAGTAGTAGTGGTGGTGATGACGACAGTGATTACACAGAGAGCAAACTCTCATGCCTTCAGGCACCAGTCAGGTAATATCAGTGTGTGAAGCGATAAATAATAGGTCAATATGGAGTGGGGGAAGTGAGTGGAGAACTAGGGAGTGTCCTCTTAACTTGAAGGCATTAAAATCCAGGAATTTCCAAAACACTACTTGGGCCACCTAAAACTCATTTTTTTTTTACCCTCAGGTTGCCGTCTGCCAAACTGTAATGAGTGTTTCACAAGTACTTCCCTTAACAATTGTGCTAGCAGAGTGGCCCATTTTACAGATGTCAAATTCGAAGCTCACTTACAAGGTAGTCAGTACCAGGGGAAACTGGGACTGAACAAAGGGAACAGAGGTCTGACTCCAAAGCCAGTAGGGCTATTTGGATGGTCTCAAGGTTCCTAGGTGAGTGGAACTGGAACATTCAGTTCGTCCTACTGTCTGTCATCTCTAACCCCTTTGAGGATACGATCTCTCACTGATCTGTGGCAGAGGTAGAGCAAGTGAAAGAGGAAAGGTGCCTGTGGTGCTTGCAGTCTCCCTGGAATGTCTTCTGTGCTCTCCCTGTGCAAATCCCACATCCTGCTGACACCACCCTCTCTTCTCCATTCCCGTGCCTATCACATGTGCGTCTGTTGGTGGCCATGCAGGTTATGGCTGTTTATGTTTGTGATGCTCCTTCCATTGTGAGCTCAGAAGGGTTAGACCCATATTCATTTTTCCATCTCCTACCTGTTTGAGTTTCCATTGAGTACCATCCATTAAATACCATCTGCTGGATCTGAGTTCTAGTTATTATCCATCTCTCATCAAGTGATGAAGTCTGGGTGATTCATTTGCCATCTAAGATGTTCAGTTTCTGCAACTTTTAATTTGTAATTATTTATTATTATTTTTTAGATGGGGTCTTGCTTTGTTGCCCAGACTGGTCTCGAACTCCTGGGCCCAAGAGATCCTCCTGCCTCAGCCTCCCAAGTAGCCAGAGCTACAGGTGTGTGCCACTACACCTAGCTCTCCATCTTTAAAACTGGGATAATAACTGTCACAAGTTGTATTCCCCAGGAAGTAGATTCTGATGTAGACTAGCATGTAGGAGATTTATTAGGGAGCGTTCTTGGGATCATCACAGGGGAAGAGAAGGGAAGGAAGCAGGATCAGGCAAAGGGAGAAGAGAGGTTACAGTACATTTTTAATGAAGGCCTCAGCCCCTTCCATGAGAAGCTCTGAAGCTAAGATAGCCTTTCAAAATAGTCCTGAGTCAGGGTGAGGGTGTCAGGTCTTTATACCCTATGTTGATCACTCACTGGATGTGGACACCTCAAGAAGGGGGCATGACCTTGGGAAAGACAATTCTCTCAGTCAAGGCAGTTTCAAAGAGAGTTGACAGTTGAGGGTTGTCTAAACTAAAGTTATTCTGTTTCAGAGGAGGACTTGGAAGGCATCACAGCCTCCCAGTAACCCAAGAAACCAAGTTGGTTAACCCAGTTACTCAAGTAACAACTTCACAGGAAGGTTGATACATGTAAAAGCATACTGTAAGGTGTTAAACTTAAGGTTTTAGTTGTTGTTAATGTTAAAAGTAATATTACTGGGGCTGGGTAAATACTTCTTCAACTGAGTTGATTCTGTGTTTTTAGAGCAGCTTCTCAATAAAACTCATGCAGTTAGTATACACCCTTGTTTTATTCTTCTCACTTCCCAAAGACACCCTTCTCCCTCTCTCTTTTGTTATTAAGCTCATCTTAAACGTGCGTATGCCATCCTATTTTAAAACCTCTAGGGTTGGTTTGATTTGATTTCCTTTCCACTGAAATGACTGTTCTGAACTCTGACCTTAATCTGGGATGGTTAGAACAGCTGGAAGCACTTTCTTGACTGTCTATCTATCTTCAGACTTTATATTCCATACAGTCTCAGAGAAAGTTTAAGTGCGGTCTTTAAACATTGCTAACATTAACAATTCCCATCAATGAAGTTAACTAAATGTAAATCAGTACTGGCACTAGCATTCCCAACTTTGTACTGATCCTGGATAGGCTTGTAAGGCTCAGACGTCAGAATATCTTAGCAGAAGCTGACAACAGGAAAAATGAATGTTCTAAAGATCAAGAATATTGAGCAACTATGAGTCAATTCCAGGGACTAGCTGCTTATAGAAAAGAACTGTGTATGGGAGTTCAAAGGTGTAATATGTTGTTGATTTCACACACACACACACACACACACTCACACACATACTGATGTGGTCAGGCAATCATTCTCTGAATTCCATCATCATTTGATTTCTCTCAAATATATATGTGTATATATTTCTAACTCACAAATCTCATTGTGTCATTTCCCTGATGAAATATCTTCTGTAGCTCCCTGACATCTCCATCAGAAAATCTAAAGTCTTAGCAAAGCTCTTATGTTCCCTAAATATGCCAGAATTTTTATGCTGCTGTGTCTTTGGGCATGTCGTTTCCTTTCTGCAGAAAGCTTTCTCATTGCTTATGCATCCTTCAGGTCTCAGTTCAGATGTTACCTCCACTGGACAGCCTTCCCTGGCTTCCCCACAATGACACTTGCTGTTCTGTGCTGCCTTTCCTCCAAGACAGTGAGCTGCAGGATGGAAGGAAATAAATTCGTGGACTAGTTGGAGGGGTGAGAAGATCAGGGTAGAGAGAGAATGGGAGAAGTTATATGCAAAGCCTTTGTACTTAAAACTTTCATCTTGCAGAGTCGATACTCGGTTATATGTATCTCTAAAAGTGTGACTTAATATATCTGATATTTCATTTTGTTCTTGGCTTTAAGAAGAACCAGAATCTTTTGATTCAAGGATTAGAAGAGCTTCTAAAGGTAGGCTTTCTGACAAAAGGAAAACTTTCCCCTGACTGCCCTCTTGTGGAGGTGCCAAAATAGCCCAAAGATGGCAAGTCCATAAAATCATCATAAACCTTAATTGAGAGAGCAGTTTTCTGTACTGTCTGTTGTACTGGTTAGTCAAGCTGCCATATGCATATAATTACATATTTTTAAAATTTGAATGTGGCAAGGCATGCCCCAAACTGAATTCAGTTTGTCTCTGGTAAATCAGATGGTTCTTCAAGAATACAGAATACCCAGAGTGAAGGTTATGAACAGCACATGGAGACAGGCCACATGTGATTAAGAGCGGTCTCTGGTGGATGAAGTGCTAGATGCACACTAGCTTTCACTAGCACTTTAAGTTCCATTTCCCCTAGGCTCATGCCATGCCTAAGAATCATCTGCTGACCTATGTTAAAATGCTGATTTCTGAGCCATTCATCCAGATTCTGATTCAGTGTGTCTGGGCTAGAGCCCAGGAATCTGCCTTTAATAAGCACACCAGGGTGATGCTAATGGATGTAGCCCTTTTGAATCTTGCAGTGGGGATGGGTTTTATAGAGTCATTTACATGCTTTTCTACAACTGGGGCAACTTTCTTATTTTATTTTGAAAATTTTTTATTGTTATACTTTAAGTTCTGGGATACATGTGCAGAATGTGCAGGTTTGTTACATAGGTATACACGTGCTATGGTGGTTTGCTGCACCCATCAACCCGTCATCTACATTAGGTATTTCTCCTAAAGCTACCCCTCCCCTAGTACCCCCACCCCCTGACAGGCCCTGGTGTGTGATGTTCCCCTCCCTGTGTCCATGTGTTCTCATTGTTCAACTCCCATTTATGAGTGAGAACATGCAGTGTTTGGTTTTCTGTTCCTGTGTTAGTTTGCTGAGACTGATGGCTTCCAGCTTCATTCATGTCCCTGCAAAGGACATGAACTCGTCCATTTTTATGACTGCATAGTATTCCATGGTGTATATGTGCCACATTTTCTTTATCCAGTCTATCATTGATGGGCATTTGGGTTGGTTCCAAGTCTTTACTATTGTGAACAGTGCCACAATAAACATACATGTGCATGTGTCTTTATAGTGGAATGATTTATAATCCTTTGGATATAAACCCAGTAATGGGATTGCTGGGTCAAATGGTATTTCTGGTTCCAGATCCTTGAGGAATTGCCACACTGTCTTCCACAGTGGTTGAACTAATTTACACTCCTACCATCAGTGTAAAAGCATTCCTATTTCTCCACATCCTCTCCAGCATCTGTTATTTCCTGACTTTTTAAAGATCGCCATTCTAACTGGCATGAGATGGTATTTCATTGTGGTTTTGATTTGTATTTCTCTAATGACCAGTGATGCCTTTTTTCATATGTTTGTTGGCCACATAAATGTCTTCTTTTGAGAAGTGTCTGTTCATATCCTTTGCCCACTTTTTAATGGGGTTGTTTGTTTTTTTCTTGTAAATTTGTTTAAGTTCTTTGTAGATTCTGGGTATTAGCCCTTTGTCAGATGGATAGATTGCAAAAATTTTCTCCTATTCTGTAAGTTGGACTAGGACAACTTTTTATAGAAGTCATGATTTTACCTATTCTCATCTATTGTCTCCATTAGAGCACTCTTTTTAGAACTTATGCCTTGATTTTTGGCTTGAAAGACATGGTCTTCATTTCCATACATGAGATTGCTAGTAAGAATTAGGCATTTGATCTATAACTATGGAACAGACTTTCTTTCCTGTCTCCTTTCCTCCTTCCCTCCTTTTCTCTGTAGCTACCTACCTGTCTGCCTAACTATGTACCTATGTACCTACCCACCTGTATTTACAAACCAACCTTCATTGTGCCTTGTACCCAGTGAACCAATGTGAACTTCAGAAAAGCCAGCCTTTCAGAATGGGGATTACCCTGGGATTTTGACCTTTTTGATAGGGAAAGATGAAAAAGCATTGGCCAGGAAGTTTAGCTCTCCTAGAGAATAATACCAACAGCCATTTTTTTAAGATATGGAGTCTCACTCTCACTCAGGCTGGAGTGCATTGGCATGATCATAATGCCCTGTAGCCTCAAACTCCTGGGCTCAAGTGATCTTCCCACGTAATCCTCCTGAGTAGCTGGGAATACAAGCACACAACACTTTACCTGACTAATATTTTTTATTTTTTTTATTTTTTGAGACACTGGGTATTGGTTTGTTGTCCTGGCTTGTCTCAAACCCCCAATGTCAAGTGATCCTCCCAACTCAGCCTCCCCCAACTGCCATTTCTTGAACACCTGCCAGATACCAGGCATTCTATAAGACTTTTTAGGTACATTATTACTAATTCATCAAAGTAGTTCACAGGTGAGGAAATTGGAAGCTTAAAGAGGTTATGTACTATGTAAGTCATCTAGAGTCTTTAAGGTTGAACTATAACTTGAATCAGGTATGTCTGACTTCAAAGCTCCTTCCTCTCTCACTGGATGAGCATGTATCTAACTACCTGCAGGTGGATACCAATGGTCATCAGCCTTCTCTGGGTCTACTAGTTAGTTTTGTTGTCATTAAACATAAAATTTGGGGAGAAAACTCCATATTCAAAAAAGTAAGTTAGCAAATCAAGCATTTCTCCAGGGCACAGCTGCTATTTTCCCACTTTCTGAGAAATCTGAAAATCAGTATTGAAATAGAAAGGAAAAGAATGCTTACTGTGAATTTTTAGAAGTTTCTGAAGATTGTTTTAGGACCACACTGGGCAGCCACGTATCTTAATTTTGCATTTTGTAAAGAACCTGTGGCATTGTTGACACTCCTGAAAGGTCAATAACTACTTGTTTGGTATTTCAAGTTAATTGTGAGTTTCTGCATTTTGCATAGCTGAGTCTTTATTGTTAAAAGGTCCCTCATAAATGTTGCATTCCCCTCATTGTTGAGAGCTGCCTTGAATGCCTAGTAGGCCAATGGAAATACATTTGTTGCAGTGGAAAGGCATTTGACTTAACACAGCGTAATTAATTTTTCTTTAGCCATCAGGACATTTTTAAAAATCAAGTTTGTGTTTTTCTGATTATGAAAGAAGCACATGTTCAGTGTTAACAATTAGGAACATATAAAACAGTATAAAGATGATAAATCATCCATGATCTTCTTACCCAAGAGTAATTATAGTAGTAATTTTTTTAAAGTTCTTTAAATAAGGCATGTTTACCATGTGTCAACTCTGTTGTAGGGTAGGTGACATAATTCTAATTTTATAGATTTGGTAACTAAGCTTAGAAAGGTTAAATAATTGTCCTGCTTAGTTTACAACATTCTGTTTTCCCCTAGTTCCAAAGCCTATACTGTCCCACATAACCACTGTTAACATTCTAGATTGTTTCCTCCAAGTCTTTTTTTATGCATATTTTTTCATGGCTGAGATCATACTGTGAACACAGTTTTGACCCTCCCATTTACCCTTCACATAATGGTATAAGCATTTTCCTTATATAATATGGCTCTGCCTCCCTCCCTGCCTTCATCTCATACCTGCCCCCTTCTGTCTTGTATGCCACACTCCAGTCACATTGGCCTTTTTTCTGTTCGTGGAACAAGTCAAGAATGTTCTTGCCTTGGGACCTTTGCACTGGCCATTTCCTCTGCCTCAAACACTCTTGTCTTAGATCTTAATGGCTCATTGGTTAGTTTTTTCTCATCCTTTAGGTAGGTGTCAGCTTCAATATATAGGTTTTCCCTGAAAGTCTTATCTCACATAGGTCCTGTTTTCTTTCTTAGCACTTGGTGGATTTCCTTCATAGCACTTCTTATAACTTACCATTAGTTCATTTTATTTGCCTTTTTATTGTGTTATTGTATCACCTTCACCTTTATAGGTCTGGGCCTAACATGGGCTTATACATGATGCTGCATTGAACATTTTTCTATATAAAACACTTTCTCTATCATTATGATAGTTTCATAGAAGTTCAAACTAGATCAAAGTGTAGGAACATTTTGAGGGCTCTTGCTTCACATTACTGCAAAAATTTCATCCCAGCATCCCAAAGTGTATACAACTATAAGCACTGTGTGGGGGTGCCAGTTTCACTGCATCCTTGCCAGCATCATCAGTTTTTAAAGTCTTAGCTATTTTGATAGGTGACTTAAACCATGCCTGCACACTGTAGGTGCTCAGTAAATTTCATTTGCTAAAGAGATGATATATAAAGTTGACATTTGGCCAGAGTTCCAAGAACACACACATCCTTTCCTGGACTCCTTTTCCTTTGAGGTCACACAGAGAATGTAATACAGAGAACAGCAGTAGCCAGTGCCATGGCGTACACCTATAATCACAGCACTTTGGGAGGCCAAGGTAGGAGGATGGCTTGTGGCCAAGGGTTCTAGAGAAGAGCGGCAAGTAGAGGTGCCCAGATTGGCTCTATTTTCAGCCTTCATAATCTGGGCAGGATCTTCTGAAAACTTTATTTTGCTAGGCCTAGAGGTAGCCATTGTCTAAAAATACAGTTGCCCCTTGCTCCTTTTCCTCTAAATCTATATCCAAATAGTAAGGAAGGACCTATTCAGAGCAAAGAAAGCATATTTGCGTTGTCATTGCTGGCATAGACCTGTCCAAATGCCATTTCAATATTATCTCCTTGACAGATGAGGTACCATTTTTATTCAGATATCTAATTAGCAATCGCTTTAAAAATTCATCATATTTAATGCATGGCATAGTAAATACTTTATCCTCTGAGACTTTAACCCAATATAAAGCTCTTGAACCTGACTGTATTTACAGCTGCAAGCCTCCTTCTTAGGGAGGCAGCGAAGGGGGAGATAGATGCAGAGATATCCCCTTAGCATTATTTTCATGTATGAGTTTTAAAACTAGTTGTGAGGGTAGATGTTTTCCCACATGTTTGTTCACCAGTTGTAAGTCCTATTTGGGGTAACTGTTCATGTGTTTTGTCTGAGTCTGTATTGTGTTTTGTAATACATTTATGTGAGTGCTTTAAGTAGTAAAAGCAGTGATCTTTTTTTTTGTATCTTTGGTAAATATTTTTCCAGCTTGTCTTCCCTGAAACTTTTTCTGTTTTAGACTTCCTGAAGTTTTAAATGTACATGTAGGCCATTCCGTCAATATTTTTCCTTGTTAATTGCTTTTAAGCTTATAAGAGTCCAAGATTGGCTAATGGGTTACTTTTTTTTCCTAGTTATTTTATGGTTTGATAAGCATGTCTTGCTTAGAAGGTCCTTTCTACTTGTATAAAGGAATGTTGAAATTGTATGAAATGTAAATACCTGGTTCCACAGCATTTTCCTTGAAATTGGGAAATTTTTCTAGTTTGGCTTTGAAAAAAATAGATTTCAAAATAAGGTATAACTAGATAAGATTTAAAGGTATTTCTTTGTTTAGTTCCTTGGAACCATTCAGCTTTTATATATATATATATATATATATACTCTCTCTGCTCTGCCTCCTGGAATAGTATGCGGAGGAACCCTTTAGCATACTAATATAATAAGGATGCTTTTTATGGCTTAAGAGATCTTGGGAATCCTTGGGAAATTGTTCAGTGACTCTCTGCAATGGAATTAATGTTTTAAACCCAGAAGCATGCATTCTATATAAGAGATATATTTTCAGAGCTCTTCTTGCTATGAGCTTTCCAACCCTTGCCTCCTACCACCCTGGGAGTGGTGCACCCTCCACACCCCGCACCCTCCACCCCCAGATAATTGGATTGGAGCTAGTGTTCTTTGTTGTTTGCTTTTCAGAGAGGGGTGGTTGTGTATTATATTCTGGAAGGAATAGGTACTGCTGTAGTGTGAGTGCATTCTCTCGGGGACTCTGCAGATCCAAGGCCAGTTCTTCATTCTGAGCCCCTCAAGTCACTCCTTGGCCTCTGCTGTTCTTTAGCTAAAGGAAGAGATTCCCATTGTTCCCATCTATTTTTCCAAAGGGAGAATGCCAGTACTGAGGAAGAGGGTGGGCTTAGAGAGTCAATCAATTATCTTTTGGGCTTAAAACTAAAGAAAATGAACCCATGGTTCAAGGATATCTACTTCATCATTTATTATTTTCCATGTGAAAACCCCCTTGGAGCAGGATAATCTTTTTCTAATCACTGTACTGAATGGATCCCCAAAACAGCCAACCAGAAATGGAATTTTAAAACATGGCTTATTTTAAATTAATTTATTTTCTTTTTTAAACCAATATAATGAGGAAGCAGAGAGGTACAGAAAGGGCTAGGGACTTAGCCAAGGTGACAGAGCTAATTAGTGACAGAGCAAAGATGCTTGCTGTTCATGTCTTCCACTCTAGTACTTTCTACTGTCTCTTTTCTCACAATCTTCAGAGGTGTATAGTTTACAACTGTGGCTATGTACAACAGACTATGTCTTCTAGATTGTAATTTTTTAAACTTAGCTAAAATAACCTATTGAAGATAAATATATTTTAATTTTTATAAATTTCACCTTAGCGATGTGACCTAAAATGTAACCACCTCAAGTAGACACTGAATTTTCTACACGAAATTTGCTGTGGACTAAATTGTGTCTTCAAAATTTGCATATTGAAGCTCTAGCTCTTGATGTGACTGTATTTGGACATAAGGCTTCTAGGGGGTAATTAAGGTTAAATGAGGTTATAAGGGTAGGGTCCTAGTCTGATAGGATTGTTGGCCTTATAAGAAGAGGAAGAGAGAGATCTTTCTCTCCACCATGCAAGGACACAGTGAGAAGGCAGTCACCTGCAAACTAGGAGGAGAGTCCCCTCTAGAACCCAACCATGCTGGCACCCTTATCTCAGACTTCCAGCCTCCACAACTACAAGAAAATACATTTCTTTTGTTTAAACCACCCAGTCTATGGCATTTTGCTATGGCAGCCCAAGTTGACTAATATAAAAGCTTTATTGCCTCACTAAATTCTGGTTTCTAGACCCAGTAGACATACAAATTACAAGATCATTGAGGCTGATCTGTGTTTTAGAAAAATCATTCTGATAGTTCCTTTGAGGCTCTGTGTGCCTTTTGTGTGATTGAGTTGTGAGTGCTTCAGAGCACTTGCTTTAATTGTAAGGAATAGCTTATTGTTGACTGGAAACATCCTGGCTCACAAATGAAATTGATGAAAGCTGGCCTGTCCTTCACTGAACCAGGAGTGAAGGATATATTAGCATTGTGATGTCACTGTGGCCAGAGGCCTTTGCTGGACTGGGAACTCACTTCTGAGTTCCTGAAATCACTTAATTATAGGCGAATACACATAATACCTGAACAGCATCACTGCACTATTTTTGTCTTCCCTTCCATGCTGACTTATTCATTAACATTTGTGTAAACCATCTGAACCATAGAATCCTTTTGGGAGGTCCTCCAGCTCATCTCTTCTATCTGTAGACCAACTTTTCCTCGAGCATCTCTAACAAAACTCAGAGGCTCTCATCTTCCCCACTGAAGAGTTGGTGCCCTTGAACTGATGGATTCAGCTGATGTCAAAATTGGAAACAAATATTAACGAATATTTAATTCAATCTCGGACAAAGTAAGAGATCTAAAAATGTGTGGTCCCAAGCCTCTTAAACTTCTTGAAATCAAAGAAAGCCAACTGCTGGCCTGAAGGTCTTGGCAGAATGGTAATGCTACTTCTATAGCATTAACCACCAAAAGCCCTTCATCTCCAAGGATAGACAGGCTCCTTCAATCACTCGGTGCACTAGAAGCCAGGAAACAAGAAAGGGCACCCACCCACACAGCCAGTCAGCACCTCTCATATCCTCCCACAGACCCTGTTCTCCAAATACTAGACAGCAGAATAATCAGTTAAGCCTTAGTGACTGCCAGGGTGTTTCAGATCCATTCAAATGACTGTGTTGGTTTTACCAGGCTTGGCAATTGTTCTTTGCAGAAGGCTGAGTCTAGCAATAGCCCCATTTCACAGCTGATGGTGCTAACCCATGGCAAGGCTTGAAGTCTCCACAGCAAAGGAATTGAGCAGCTCTGACTACAAGCCACCTGAAAGTGAATGAGCTCCTCAAATATTATCCGCCATTCTGCCACACTGCCAGTCACTAGGATAAAGAGAACCAGAAATGGTCGCTGGCTTTGTAGAATTCTCAATGTAGCAGAAAAGAAAGACTCATAAGAACTTATCATTACAGTGTGAAAAGGGCTGTAATGTTGGAAAGGAAGCAAGGAGGCTACAGGAGCAGAGAGGAGGGTAACCTAATGCAGATTCTTAAAAACTGGCTAAATTAAATTAAAGATGTAAGGCATTGTTAACTTTAAAGGTTTTCCTTTTTAGATTCCAGGATGATCTCTGTACCTTCTAATATAGTTTTTTTGAAAAAACAAACTTGATTTTTAAAAACTTTGGTTTAATTTCAACATTCTCTCATGTTGGCTTTTTAAAAACCTCTTTCTGGCTAGGTGTGGTGACTCATTCTTGTAATCCCAGCATTTTGGGAGGCCAAGGTGGGCAGATCAATTGAGCTCAGGAGTTTGAGACCAGCCTAGGCAACATGGCAAAACACCATCTCTACAAAAAAGTTTTAAAAATTAGCCAGGCATGGTGGCATGTGTCTGTGGTCCTGGCTACTCAGGAGGCTGAGGTGGGAGGATCACCTGAGTCCAGGAGGTTGAGGCTGCAGTGAGCCATGATTGCACCACTGCACTCCAGCCTGGGCGACAGAGTGAGACTTTATCTCTAAAACAAACAAACAAAAAACAAAAAACCATCTTTCTAACCCTTTCTGTTTTTAGCGTGGGCTTGGGGAATGAGGTGTATTTTCTCAGTGATACCATCAGGGGTGGGAAGGATAAGGCCAAGTACAGTGGGAATACAGACGGTTCCTAGGGTCACCTGCAGAAGAATAGCCAGATGGGGAAACTCAACGCCTAAGAGATTCAGATGTTTAAGAGTCATGTAAAAGCCTCAAAAGCATTTGAGGTCCCAACATGTAAAGTATAGGAATTCTCAGGTTGGTATTTGGGCATCAGAGAGTTGGGTGGAGGTTGTAAAAAGGTCTGCCACAGAGGACAGTTGGAAGGTTCTGGTGCTGAAATCAGTGGGGAATGACAGAGGCTAAACAGGCTCAGGCAGAGGTTATGTATGACAACTGAGTCTCTTTTTTCCTCCTGTTAAAAAGTTAGTGATTTTATCTATCTCAAGTTTGTTGTAAGCTATAAATGAAACTCTCACATATAAAAAGACTAGTCCTTGAAAAAATCCCCACCTCTCCTTTCTCCTACCCCCTTCCTCTGCATTCTCACACTACTCTTTTTCACTTTTCAGAAGCCAGTAGTGTAGAGAAAGAGCTATTCTAAAATATTCTATACAATGTGTGCCACTAGGCTTCTAAGGGAGATGGTGATGTAGTAACTTTCAAGACACTTAGTCTAGTATTGCAATTGAAAAAAAAAATTGAACAGTATATATTAGTCAGAATAGGCCAATTACTGTAACAAACAACCCTGAAATCTCAATGGTTTGACACAGTCAGGGTTAGCTCTTGCTCATTTCACAGTTCAGCATGGGTCCATAGGATGCTATACTCCACTCAGTCATTCAGGGACCCAGGTGCCTCTCATCTAGTGGCTCTGTTCTCCTTTAGGGCCTCAGAGTTCTCCTTTGTACCCTTTGCATCTACTTGGTAGGCAAAGGAAGAGAGAGAGTGAAGATGGCACATCATAGAGAAATTGTTAGAGACTAGTCTTAAAAGTGATGTGCATCACTTCCACCCACATTCCAATGGCCGGAGCTCAATCACTCAGCCCCACTGTATTCTAGCTGTATGGCTAGGCAGAAAAGGAAATAGGACTGGGTGGACACTTGGCAGTCCCTGCACCGCAGTCAGAGGTAGCCCAAAATGAGGCAAATTATTGGAAAAGTAGTGAATGAGCTCCCTTTCACTGAAGGTATGTAAGCAGAGTCCAGTGACCCCTTATTTTCCAAGTCCTACTGGAGTAAGGTGGGGGAAATTTAAGCTAGAAGAATGCAGAGGACCTTTCTATCTTTGAGGTTCTCTGATTCAGTAAAGCAGAAGGGAATTGGAGCTGAATTACCCATCTGAATTTCCGGTGACTTAAACTGAGTTCTTGGAGTAGAAATAGAATGTTGAATTTCATTTCATGAATTGTTCTTCCAGCTTGACGTATTGGAGATTTTTAGCACGCACGCTCACACCTGGCTGCTCGCCACCTTCTGCCATTGCAGATACGCTTACAGGAAACCGTAAGTGGATCTGCTTTTGATGCTGGCAGCGTCTTACTAAAATGCTTTTGCTGGCATCATGGAACAGGAGCAGAATTCAGCTGGGACCAATAATGAGGCTATTTAGAAAGTTCTCTCCTCCACCCCCTGACAAGGCAGATGTGGTAGGGATTTTTCCACTCCCATTCTGTCGATGGTGGCCAAAATTAGTTCAAGGCCATCAGAAGTGTTTAGACCTCAAGAGTTGAAACCCCAGACCCATAAAGAGGACAAATCCTCTTCCTCACGTCTAGCAAGAGAAGAAGAAACTCACCCCCAAAGACTCCCAACACAGAAATTTGTCACCTATTGTTCCGTAACAGACTTTAAAAAGGCACAGCCATGTGTCAGTTTGGAAGGAAAAGAAGCACTGACCTCCATTAAAAATATCTCCAAGTAAGTTAAAGTTGCTAATGCTTTCCTTTTCCTGAAACCATGTTGTATTGAAACAACATTTTCTTCTAAGCACTTTCACTTCTATCATCTCATGTTAAAATCCCCAGCCATTGTAGTGTGAGGTAGGGATGTCATGTTTTATCCCCATTTAATAGATGAGACTTCTTGAGGTGCAGAGAGATTAAGTGGCTCGCTTAAGGTCTGTGAGACATGTATGCAAGATGAGTACCCAAATCTCTATACTTCCAAACTCTTTCGCCTAGACCACACAAGATTGTATCAGCTGATGGGTTTTTTGGCCATTCTAGTTCACTGTAACTGACTCTGTCCATCTGTTGATCCATTAATCCATCTGTCCATCCACAAACTGTACCAGGCATTGTGCTTCAGATACAGAGATAAATAAGGGTCTTTGCCTTCACAGCTTAGTAGGAAAGATGGAAATAGAGATAAATAAATGATGGATACAAGTACATATATAGACAAGTTATGATGGGTATATGTGTGGGGAAGGGCCAGGATTGGAAACACAAAAAGAGCATGGTAAGTTCTTCCTTAGAAGGTCAGGGATGATGTCACAAAGGTGACATTTGAGCTGAATCTTATAGGTGTATGACCATCAGACACACAAGGGGTCGGGGGCATCCCAGGCGAGACACCAACTTGTGCAAAGGCATAAAATGTGGCCTATGCAGGGATGTTCTGGCATGTTTCGGGATGGTTTTAGAGAGTAATGAACCCAACGGGGGCACCCTGGCAGCATTGCTGAGCTAAAAGTAAAAGAAGATATTCTGTAATACTTGTGTGCACCCTTGTTCCTGGACTCATGCGACATCTCAATTCTCTGACTTTAGGCAGTGGTTTGGGTCTGACCCACACAATTTAGTCTTTGATTATGTACTCTTGCCTTATTCTGCCCATGTTTTCATCATTAGGCGTGGGCTCCCTAGTCTGACTGTAAACACTAATAACAGTACATTGTGAGTGCCAAGGGACTGCTTGGTGATTTTTAAATATTCAGAAATCAAGCAGTGAGCCCAAGAGAATATGAGCAGGATGTAGCACCATGAGAGGAAAAATATATGGACTTTAGTTCAGTTAGGTAAACCAGCACCATGCCAGGCATGGAGGGCACAGAAGTTGTTGACGTCAAAGAGCTTACAGTCTTGAGTGGAAGGTAGACAGGGAAGCTAGTAATCACAATTCAATAAGGACAAGAGTAACCTGTGGAACAAGTTCTGTGAGAGCTCAAATAGGGAACCATTAATTCTGCCTATTCTCACTCCAATATAAATTCCCAGGGCAGGGGATTTTGTGTGCCTTGTTTACTGTTGAATCCCCAATGTCTGGCACATAGTAGGTGTTCAATAAATATTTGCTGAATGAATTTATTGAAATTAATTCTTGAACTTGATTTATGATCATCAAGGATAAGTGGGGACAAGTGTTCCAGACAGAGAGAGAATAGCTTGGGCAAAGAAACATACATAGGTGCAAGTTTTAATTTGCCCAAATGTTGTTTCCCTAAATGTACTGCCAGAGAGTGTTCTTATAAAGTTTGGATATCATTGAGATTTCTGGATGGTGGCCTTTCTTTCTTTTCTTTTATTATTGTTTGTTTGTTTTTAAACTTTTGATTGAATTCTCCCCACACATTACTGTGCTCAGTGTCTTGAGAAGATTGACCATACTGGCACATTTTAACCAGGGCTTCTGTCAACTGATGTCCTTTTGAACCACCTGCATTAGGGTGCACATTGTTGCATCCTCTACCCTCATCCCTCTGTTGGAAACCATAGTGGCTATCAGGTAAAATTGGTCATAGGTAATGTGACCATGTGACCTGGTTTGCCATTACTGGTTTATGCCTGTTGTCTTGTTGTAATTATTAATAGAGACTCCTTGCACTCTCAAAAATATCTGGGTTTGCCCGAGAGAAGCATCAGTCAAGAAAAGTGGTTGATGTAGAAAGCCCCATTACCAGACATTGGGAGCACTAATTCAACACTTACTTAGCAGATATTTATTGAATGTGATTCTATTCTGGACACTTCAGGGACCCGTAAGTATGAACAAAACGTGGTCTCTCCTTTGCCCTTAATTCAAAGTGATGATTGTACATATCCTAGCTTTCTCGTGGTTATAAGAATAACACAGTAAATACTCTGTGAATATTTGTTGAATGATTATAATGAGTAAATGATGTATGTTATTTAACCTCTTTCTTAGTTTTCCTTATATGTCAATGCAGAGATAATAATAACAGTACCTACCTTATAGGATTGTTGTGAAACTAAGTGAGTAAATACATATAAAGAGCTAAGAGTAGTATCTGACACAGTAAATGCTCAATAGATAGCAGTATTGTCTGAAAGCACTTTGCAAACACAACAGAGCTACCTATAGCTTTCTGCAGCTTAAAAATGAGAAAAGCAGCGATTTGGAAGCTTTGTCTAGGAAAGGTTGCATTTGTTAATTTATTTAACTATCATTTATTATGAATCAGATATAAGCCCCATCCTCAAGGAGCTCAAGTGGGACAGACATGCAAAAGAAGACTATGAATCTACATACATTTATGTCATAAAACCATGTCCTATAAATTTGTGGGTTTTGTTAGAGGTCTGCTGGGTACCACTTTATAGACCATTCATTGACAGTTTCAGCAGAAGGGGTGGATGTTGATTGCTATTAATCAAGGAAGCAATGTGGTTAGATTGGAATTTAAGAAAGGTTACTGTGGCTGGTAGATGGTATTCATTTAAAACTGAAGGTAAAGATACGTTGATGGTAATAATTCAAGACAGGATCAAGATACCAGCTTTATTTTCCCAGCCCTCTCTCAGTATTTGTGAAACCTGTGTTGTCAAACTTGAGTGTTTCCATTGTTAATTGTTGTACTTCATGTTTCTATAAGTAAAGAATAATTAGCTGGGTGTGATGGCTCATGCCTGTAATCCCAGCACTTTGGGAGTCCAAAGTGGGCAGATCACCTGAGGTCAGGAGTTCGAGACCAGCCCGGCCAACTTGGTGAAACCCTGTCTCTACAATAAATAAATAAATAAATAAATAAATAAATAAATAAATTAGCTGGGCTTGATGGCAGGTGCCTGTAATCCCAGCTACTGGGGAGGCTGAGGTGAGATAATCTCCTGAACCCGGGAGGCAGAGGTTGCAGTGAGCCTAGATTGCACCATTGCACTCTATCCTGGGCGACGGAGTGAGACTCCATCTCAAAAATAAAAAAATAATAATAAAAAAAATTATTCGGAGGAAGATTAATTGTGAAGCATTCAGGTAGGTGAAAAGTGTGAGAGGAGTAAGCACTGTTATCCTGTATGCTTGGGAGGCCTCAGCAATGGAGACATTCCATTTGGGATTTCAGATAGCAATGACTGAATGCTTCAAAATGAAAATAACAGACAAGGAGGCTTGAGTTCAGTGGAAGTGCTCAGGGACTTGCCTAAGGTCACATAGCTAGTTTACGGCAGCATTGGTGCTCAAACCCGTCTTTTGACTCCCAGTTCACTTTTCTTTCATTATAGTATTATTTATACTAGACTAGATAAGTCCCTTTACTGATTGCTGAGTTCCTTAGGAACTGCGTGGGTGTGGGGTAGGCATTAATGAGGCCCACCCTTCCCCCAACTAGGAGAACAGCACTGTTCTATTTGTTTATATATTGAGGGTTTTCATAATATTTTGCTTAGAAAAAAGCACTTGCTATAAAAAAGAAAAAAAAGGTTGAAAATAAATCATCTGAAGCTACAAATTAGCTAAATAGCCTGATACTCCTGTAGTGTAAAACTATATAGTCTCCTTTTAAACTAATTTTATATTTATATAATATATAATTTTTACACACACACACACATACAGCCACACATATTAACTAATGTCACTGCCTATATAGATACTCTGTTAAGTACTTGCACTTCCTAGGGTTTTCCCAGAGACCTGGTTGTATAGATCTGAGAATATGGGCTACAATATCAGCAGTGCCTTCCTCTTTTCCATAGCTTTCACACCATCCAGACCTATTGGAGTTCTCTGTGACTAAGACTTTCCAGCTATGGAAGCACAAATTCAGGGGGCAAACCGTCACATTATTCACCAAATAAGGTTGTAGCCAGAGCATCCCCATCTCTATCAATAAAACAGTGCCTGTGTTGAAAGCTCATAGCATGAGCTCAATGGATTTGTTGAGTTTGAAGAGCAACTTCCACTTTCGAGTTTCTGATTTTAGTCACTTGAACATTTCTAAGAGGAATAATACCTTCCGTTGGTAGAGCTTTCTCACAACAGAAAAAAATGATTTTGTGGAAAGGTGGATTCCAAAAGTTTTTGAGTCATCCTTGGGATTCATCTACTCTTCATGTATTTCTAAGAGAGGCCATATCTCAGCCTGCCATATGAATATATTTATTTTACTTTAGCAAATATTTATTGAGCACCAACTATGACAGCCACTGTGCTCAGCTGGAGGGAAACAAAGACAAATAAGAACAGTCTTTGCTCTTGAGTACCTTGAAAACAGGTGGGAGAGACAGACCCGTAAACAACTGTGGTAATGCTCTGACATGAGTTCTGTGGAGTCAGAAAGAACAAGCTAGTATGAAAGCTCAGATAACAAAGAAGATCATTTTGCTTAGTGAGGCTGAGGCCTTGAAGGATGAATATGATTTTCCATACAGAGAAGGCATTCTAGATGGAAGAAATTACAGGCATAAAGACAAGTGTTGTGAGAGAATAGATGGTCATATCTAGAGCTGTGTATAGGGAAAGGAATGTCTTGGAGGTATCAGGAAACTTAAATAAAGACAAAATTTTAAAGAGCCTTGAATGCCGTACTGAATAATTGGCCTTGAAAAAAGCAATAAGGATCTTAGAAAGATTTTTAGGCAGGGGAGTAACAGAACATAGGGCAAACCATAAGAAATTGACCACGTTTGACTGCTTTTAACCTAAAAAACAATTTCATGTTTCAACCTAATAAAAAATAGTGAACATTTTTGAGTAAGTAGCAGCATGTTACACCCCACAATACATGCCTTACATGGATTATCTCATCTAATCCTCACAAGTTTAGGCATTATTGTTGTCCCCAGTTTAAATATGACACAAAATTCAGAGAGTATCTTTGGACTTAATCAAGGTCCTGGTCCCTGACTTTTAAAAGCCCATGGTTTTAATGATTTTAACCAACCATCTCCAGTTCTGCATTTTATTAAAATAGCTTGGTTAGGCACAGTGGTGCATGCCTGTAATCCCAGCACTTTGAGAGGCCAAGGCAGGAGGATCGCTTGAGCCCAGGAGTTTGAGACCAACCTGGGCAACATAGTGAGATCTTGTCTCTACTAAAAATAAAAATAAAAATTAGCTGGGTGTTGGGGAAAAGGCCTGTAGTCCCAGCTACTCAGGAGGCTGAGGTGGGAGGATGACTTAAGCCTGAGAGGTCCAGGCTGCAGTGAGCCATGATCATGCCACTGCACTCCAGCCTGGGTGACAGAGCAAGACCTTCTCTCAAAAAGAAAGAAAAAACAAAACCTCTCGTGACCAGACTGGGCATTAGAGGAACATGCTACTACCCCGGCTCTTTCTTTGAGGCAGATTTAAAAATCTTCTTCAAAAGCTTAATTTCCCTTTAGCCAGCATTATTACAGTGTAAAGTCAGTTGAAAATCTGAGTAAACCCTACTGAAAATGTTGTTTGCTAATTAAAAACTACTTATTTATAAACTCTGACATATTAGAACTGGCAGAGACTTCAGGAATCATCTAGTTTCATTTCTTATTTACTCAAGAAGGTTCTGGTCCAGAGAGGAGAAGTGGTTTGCCTGAGGTCATAGAATTACTAGTAGCAGAGATGAAACTGGCCTTGATGTCTCCTGGCTCTTCCTTTATGTTCCCTAGTGAATTAAAATGGATCTTACTTTCACAAACATGCACTAAGCACCTACTGTGTATAAGGCCCATTGTTCTAGGTATGTTCTTCTGTTCTCTTACACATGCAAATGTGTACAAATTCATGTTAGGTAGATGGTTCAGTTTGGCTAACTACTGACACTACGTCAAAGATATAGGGGGAATCTGTCTTTTAGCTATCCATATCATGGAATTGGCAAACATACATTGATAATAAATTTTTAATAGTGAAGATATCCATTAAGATTACTGTTCTAAGTCCTTGTGTGTTTTGTTTCCTTTTGCCCCAAGGTACCCATGTGCTAACAAATAATAAAGAAAAAATTTCAAGCAGGAGTTTTTACATTACTTGAGTTGTGAAACCTTGAAGATGATGTAAGCATTTCAAAATCCTTGAACAAGATGTAAGTTTTAATGGTATGCATAACATATATGACACACATTTACATTCATAGGATTTTTGAAGGCTAGCAAAATTTTTTGCAAGCATTCTTATTTCACTGACAATGGAAAAATCATCAATGTGATGATTATTTGATTATCCCACTGTCCATTTTATGGATAATGAAGTGGGCAAAGTAGGTATCAAATAATAAAATTAGTAAATACTCTTTATTCACTCTTCTCAGTAAGGGAGGAATAGCAAGTGGTTAGACTGAATAGTGAGTTCAATATCAATAACCCTTTTAAAATAACTTAAGTGTAATTTCTATAATGACCTAGGATTAATGATAACTTGGTTAAAAAAATGAAAAGTTATGTTTGTGAGTAATTTTAGGGAAGGACCAGGGCTTTTCTAGACACTCAAATTTTGTAGAAGCCTAGCATCATTGTGGTTACCTCATAATATCATAAAGGAAGGTTAACATGAAATAAGCACTTGTAGCAAATAAGGCTTTGGGTGTTGTAATGTTAAAACTTCTGTTCAAAAACCTTACATTAAAAAAGTACTCATCTTCATTAAAGATGTGATCCTTTTCACAGAGGTATTTTGAACTTCAAGCTGCTGTTGCTAAGGGGTTGCTACGGGAAATGAGCTACTCAGCATTAATGTGTAACTTTACTCTTCTGCTTAAAAGTAGTTAAATCATTTCCCCAGCTTTAGAGTCAGAGAGGGGAAGAACTAAAAAGGGTCAAGTGGAGAGTTGCCTCTTTCTGACAGTTATATAGCATGCCTCTCTTGTTTTTCACATTTTTTTATTTGCCTCTCATAGAGAAAGGAAGCATCCTTTCTGGGCATAAGAGGGTTGAAAACTAGACTACCAAGTAGGGCAGGGCTTATAATAAATGTAGAATGTCCCTGGCTAAGGCAGAAGGGAAGTGCCTGACCACTGAAAGAAAAGCAGCCGTGGGCTGTTGATCTAAGGCTTCTGCTGGTGACCAACCTCAGGAAAGGGCTTTTTATAATAAGTCAGCATTGAGGATGACTTGATAAAGAAAGTTATGTATTAGTGAATAGAGCATTGACCACCAAATAATTATATCCTAAGCAGTTGGTTCAAAAGTTTTTCTGAATTATTTGAAATCAATAATTTATATCTTTTCTTGAGTGCCCACCATATTCCAGGTACTGTTATTCCATGTGCTGGGGTTATAAGGCAAATAACGTACAATTTCTGCCATGCAAGCTCACAGTACAGTGTGAAAGTAACAATGAACTGGCTGGGTGCGGTGGCTCACGCCTGTAATCCCAGCACTTTGGGAGGCCGAGGCAGGTGGATCACCTGAGGTCGGGAGTTCAAGACCAGCCTGACCAACATGGAGAAATCCTGTCTCTATTAAAAATACAAAATTAGCCGGGCATGGTGGCGCATGCCTGTAATCTCAGCTACTTGGGAGGCTGAGGCAAGAGAATTGCTTGAACCAGGAAGGCAGAGGTTGCAGTGAGCCAAGATCACACCACTGCACTTCCAGCCTGGGTGACAGAGCGAAACTCCGCCTCAAAAAAAAAAAAAAAAAAAAGAAAGAAAAAGAAAGAAAGTAACAATGAACTATAATCCATTGAATGCAATCTGTAATTGAATTGTTTGAAAATTACTGAAGTCTGGAATTATGTTCTCAGTGGATTTTTAATAAATAAAATTTGGAAATATTTGTAAAGATTAATGCTTTGGGACTTTAGCAGACAATTTCATCTGAAGATCAGTCACTCTCTACACCACTTCCAAGCCTGGAGAATGGAATAGCACATGCACGAAATAATGTAGACAAAATGTTTCCCTTGTAATCCTCATAGGACCAAGGTTCTGTTATCACCTGGTGGCAGAATACAGAATTTACAGGCATAGATTATTTTGATTGTTACTGTTTTAAATGTCAATAGAAGTCAAAGACATTATTTTGAATGTTAGTTTTTGAGTATAGAGTAACACAGAAAATAAGACTTAAATATCTTTAGATTCACACTTTTCTGTGTAAGTTGGTATGTTATAGAGAAAAGACTGTGGACTGAGGTTGGGCATACGTAAGCATGAAACTTAAATTGGCCTCTTACTAGTTACATGATCTTGAGAAAATCAGTTAAATTATGTAATCTCTAGTTTTCTTATTGGAAATCTCAGAGTTGTGAGATTAAATGAGATTTATAGGCACAGCACCTACCATAATGTTCAACACACAGTGAATGTTCCGTCAATATTAATTCTGGTTCCTTTTATAAAGAACGTACTGAATAAGAGGTCTGCCCGCCCACAGTCGTCATATCATAACATCCCTCTGTTTATAGCTTTTAAAAATGGAGGAGGTTGGAATAGATTCAGAGGAGCCTTCATAGGGGTTCTGGCTAGGATGCGATGGCTGTCAGTATTTCTTTCCTTTCCCCCTACCCCACCTCTATTCTTATATGAAAAATATTCTGCATTTTCCTAGCCAATTCTTATCATTCTTTGGATCTCGCCTCAGTTCAGGCTTCTCCCACGAAGCCTTCCCCATCACTCCAGATCTCATCCTCATTATCAACTATCTCTAACACTTAATTTTGGTATTCTTTTTACATCCTTCCTTAGGCTATTAGGATTCATGCATAAAAAGGAAAGCTCCTTCCCAATCAGATTTTAAGCTCCTTGAAGGTGGGGACTATGACTTCTATTTCTTTTTATTGTTCACACCAATAATTTAGCACTGAACTTTGCTCACAAGATTAAGTAAATGTTGATTTGCAGCAGGCACTTTTTTATTAGAACTGGAACAGACCATTCAGCCTTTGTTAGTTATGATTTTCTTGTTATTCTCTAGTTGTTTTGAGAGTCTTTATATCATATCTTCCTCAACAAGACTGAATTATCCTGAAACTAATACAAATTTATGCATTTCCTCCCCATTCTACATATTAGTAATAATTGCTGCCATTTAGAGTGATGCCTCCACCAAGTTTTTTTTTTTTCTGGCAACAAACTATAAGTGAAGTATTATTGTGCCCATTTTACAGATGAGGAAATTGAGGCTTATGGAGCCTAACATATCATTTTTCCCTAAGGAGATGTTCAGCCACCCCTAGTTGAATCAAACAAAATGGGCCTTGGGATAGTACTTGAAGTGTTAATGAGTGGGACTATTGATCTTCGTTCATTCCCCATAACTCAGCACTACTTGGAAATAAGGACATATAACTTAATTCAACTACTGCTTGTTGAGCAACTACTGTATGTAAGGGGTTTTTTCAGGTTTAAAAGAGGAAAAACGGGTAGGGTTGGGGACCCAATCAGGTACTCATCCTGCTTTCTAAAATGCTTTGCTTTCCAGCTTTAATCTTTTGTATTTCTCCTATTCCAAATTTACAGCCTGATTATAATAATAGATTAAATGAGATATCTTGAGGACATACCTAGCTAAAAGCATGTCACAAAGAAATCTTTTTAAGAAAATTTTTTTAAAGAATATTTTTTAAATTTTTTAATCTTGCTATTTTTTAGTTGAGAAAAAATTGAGCATGACTTTCACCTTCCCTTTCCTTTCTCTTCTAGTCTGTGCCCATCTTTCTCACTGATTTCAACAAATATTTACTAAGGCTGGGCACAGAGGCTTATACCTATAATATTAGCACTTTGAGAGGCTGAGGCAGGAGGATCTCTTGAGGCCAGGAGTTCAAGACAAGGCTGGGCAAAATACTGAGACCCCTATCTCTACCAAAAAAGAAAAATTCTTAATTAATAAACACAAATATTTACTAAGCATATTCTTCTGTGACATAAAGGAAGAGATATCTTACTTTTAGATAAGGAAAACACATTTCTAGAAGTATGCTTAGATACTATAATTGTCACTACTGACAATTTACTGGGTTGAGTAAAATTGTGTATGTCAAGTGCCTAATACAGTGTTTGGTATACAGTAGACTCCCGGTAAAATATAGCGTTTTCATTTGTGCTTTAGAATTCCTGTTAATTTCATCCAGGTGCGGTGGCTCACGCCTGTAATCCCAGCACTTGGGGAGGCCGTGGCGGGCAGATCACGAGGTCAGGAGATTGAGACCATCCTGGCTAACACGGTGAAACCCTGCCTCTACTAAAAATACAAAAAATTAGCCGGGTGTGGTGGCGGGCACCAGTAGTCCCAGCTACTCAGGAGGCTGAGGCAGGAGAATGGCTGAACCTGGGAGGCGGAGCTTGCGGTGAGCCGAGATGGCGCCACTGCACTCCAGCCTGGGCGTCAAAGCGAGACTCCATCTCAAAAATAAAATAATAAAATAAAATAAAATAAAATAAAATAAAATAAAATAAAATAAAATAAAATAAAAACTCTGCCCTAACTGGCAAGTCAAAGAATTCCTGTTAATTTCGTTATTTCTTCTTCTCCTCCCTTTCTCCCCTCCCCTCCTCTCCCTTTGACCTTTTCTTCCTTCTTTCTCCTCCTCCTCCCTTCTTTTTCCATGGATGTACCTTCTTTGCCTTTTACATCTATTCCTTTATTATTAGTTACAGAATTATAAATGAGTCCAGAATTTTTTTAAATTCCATATCAAGTCATTTTCAAAAATTTATTAAACTGACCAAACACTATATCCTTTAATGGTATGAATAGCTACTCCATACTTTACCTGCTCGTGCACTTAGATTTATAAAAATTTATACATATACCAGGGTTGTTTGTTTGTTTCTTTGTTTTGGTTTTTTATTTTTAGTAAAGCTCATCTGAACTGATATGAAGAGGCCCCAAATCCCTTAATGCAGGGATCTTCAGAAATCTCTGTGTGTTTTCACATTGACCCTGCTGAGTTTTTTGGGGGTTATGATGAAGAATATATCAGGGAAAAGTCCAGACAGCCATTCCACCTAAATCAGATGCTTGGATAAATGTGTATTTACCTTTTTTTTTCAGAATTTTGTAAGTAAGATAGTTTTCCTGTACTTCAAATTTTCTTTCCCAGAAAGACATCCTAGTGCTTTAAGAGTATGGTCAAAGGCACATTTGAAAAAGTAAGCATACACTGACTCTGGAAAGGAAACTTTTACTTTCAGCTACTGTTCTTGCATAAGGCTTAGGAATATGAAGAGAAAGCAGGAAGATGAAGTATGAATCTACTCTTAGGTCCATTTACCTGCACAGGTGAACTCTTGGCGATTTAGACAGGTTAGACATCCATTTGTCACATTTCCCCCCACAGTAGCATTCTTCTAGCTTTCCCACAATCTGTAGTAGACAAAACTACTTAGGAAGGAGAAAGGCATTATTGACTATCAGGTCATATATCTCACAGAGAACATTCGACAGTGAATTTCTGATAGACTCCTTCACATCAGTCTGGTGCATCTTTCTTGCCTCTGTAGTATGTTTGCATTTTCCTATAAAAATTGATTTAATGTTTCTACATGATAAAGAAAAAAAAAAGACAGAAACCAACACCACAATTCAACAAAGGAAAATTAAGCTTTAAATTTTCTCAAAAGCTTTTACATATAGTATACCATTTTCTGGGCAGACTGATTGTATTTTTCCTAAAGAAGGAAATGCCAGCAGTCTAGGTTTATTTTTCAAGGGAAGAGGTAAAGGATGAAAATAAATTGAACCACAGGAAAATGTCAGGTCATAGTCACTGATGACGCTATTTAAATGGTGTGCTATAATCATATTAGGGCAGAGCACATGGAATTCCTGATTTCTGCATGACAGTGAAGAAGGGCCAGCAATTATCTATATGTGTGTGTGTGGATATGTGAGTGTCTGTTCACTCTACCTTCCCACCCCATTTTGCTAATTCAATTGAGGGGCAAGAAGAGGTAATCCAGACAGCCGGAACAGGAGGAAAAGGTCTGCAGCTGTGTTCGGAGGGACTGGTGTGAAGAGAGAGGCTCAGTCTGACTTGGAGTTTTGTGCTGTTGCACGTGAATGCTCTGGAACTGCCCTAATCGACTGAAAATGAGCCGGCTACAGTCATATGGAACAGGTCTGTTTAGCCACATCACTGGATAGCCTGGCAGATGGTAGACCGTCAATGGGTGGTATTGATTGGCTGGATTTGCCTTAGGGTAACAAGACTATGGGTCCTTAAAAACCCGCTTCATCTTATTTTCCTTTGTGCAGCTTCATACAGTAGTGGTTTTCTCTTCTCTCTCCCCCCAGTCCCCAGTATCCCCTTTTACCCTTTTCAAATTAAAAGTCTTCCTTGGTAATCAAAATAGAGAGGTTACCTTGAGATAAACACTCTTTAAATTAGCACCAAGGCAAGAAAACTTGAGAATATTTTATTTACTAGGCTGATTACATTTTAATGTTTGAAGAAAGTGACATTTTTTAATTAGTGTTTAAGACATATGGTGAGTGTACAAATTAGCTTATTTCATACAACCAGAATTTGATGAGAGCAACTCCTCCTTCTCACTCCCCAGTTAAAAATTGTCACTTGAAACTTAATATATGCAAGGAGGTTAAATGGTATTAAGTGATGCCGTCTTGACTTAAAGATGAAGGACATAGTCACTATTGTGTATGGCTAAATACGGCCTGGATGGGCTGGGAAAATATTACTGTCAACACCTGTGTTTGCAAGAAAATGTGGAGGTTCCAGACCTTTAATTTTGTCCAGCCAAGAAAAGAAAATCCCAGGTATCTGTGTGTGTTGGTTTCTGTTTTAGACACATGTGGAACATAGAATGGTGTTGCATGCTTTATAAGTAATAAGATCCTCCTTAAAATCAGGCCATATAACAATATAAGTGATGTAATTTATTTTTGTTCAGGTGGTTCTATATCCTTTTAACATACCCCCAATCACTTGGAGCTTTCAACTTGGGACATTCTGTTTATTCTTGGCAGAGGAGCAGATTAATTGGAATAGAGTGATACAAAGGAGATGCCAAGTTAGCTATACATCCAAAATAGTATACGACAGAAATGTTCCACTTCGAGGCAGATCTTCGGGAAAAAGAACAGCAATGGGTAGAGACATGTGATTGGCTTGCTCTTGTGGTTGTTTATCACTATTCATATAATTGTATTTTTAAAAGAGAGGCTTAATATTTTGTATTTTTTTTCGGTGTCTTTACTTTTAAGCTTTCAGTTATTTCTTATCAGGAAAGACCCACATTAAATAAACCTAATTTCTACCCAGAAGAAAAGTTGCACCCTTAAACTCTTGCCTCCATCTTGTATGTGCTTCATCCACATGCACACTTTTGAGTTTTCATCACTGTGTGTGAATATTTTTCTGTTTTTGCTAAAGAGAAATATTTTCATGAGGTTTTTGGCCTTCCCCATTGCTCTGTGTTGATTGTATTTTCCTTGTTCATCCTTTGCTGAATGAAACAAAGCTTGTTTGTGTTTCATTCTTCGCAGTTCTTATTAGAATTTGTGGCAGTGTTTTGTTTTGTTTTGTTTCATTTCCTTGCTTTAAGTCAAGAGAAGGAATTTTATTTATTTATTTTGACAAGATATAGTGAGAGACAATCTTGCCTGTTAAGATGCTAGTGTTTCTCATGTCACATTTTACACCCAAAAGCTATTCCAAGGGGAAAAAAAAAAGAAATCTTTTAAGATGGTTCATTTGAATCTGTGCACTCTACCCACCTGGTGGTTATATAGTGAACTGTTACTTTAAAGAGTAGTTTAAACACCAGCCATGTTTGGGGCAGGCTGCTCTTGCAAAGAGAGCAGTACATATAACAGGAGTCTACTGTGTGTGAGATAAGGGGAAAATTCAGCTCACTGACTAGAGGTTTTAATGTACGAACTCTAGGGAAATAATATATTGACTGTTCCGTGGTGCGCAAGAAAATTGAAGAACCCTTTGCAGACGGAGTGCTTTGCAAAGGATTCTATCTGTTTCTCTTAAAACAAAATCTGTGGCAAGATGTTTGAAATCAGCAGGACGCTTAATGCTGCTTTGTTAAATAATGAGGTAATATTTTGTCACTTTTTTCTGGGCAGCATCTGTTTTTCCCCCCTCTTCTTTTTTTTCCCTATATTTATGAAGGATTCCTTTTTTTCCGCCTCATGGAAGTCAAGGAAATACAATTCACGCTTCCATTTCTGTTCCTTCCTTTTGGTGCTTTTGGAGAATTTGGTTGTCTTTTTTTATTTGCAGTTTCAGCCGGCTGCTGTTTCCTAGCCCATTGTGCCACGTAAGGCTTCTCCACTGCGCGGAGTAGGTAGTTATTAACGCTGAATTGGCTTCTGGTACAGTCCATCTGGACTCTGTGTGGGAAAGCTGGCTGCCGGCGACTGATGCTGAGATATCTGCAACCTTTGGGATGTGTGCATGGTGGCAAGGGGCTGACTGATATGAGATTACTTCTTTTAAGGGAAATTGTCATTAATGAGTCAAGAAACTGCTCATTTATGGTAAGAGGAATACAGCGGCGCTGGCAGCCCCACAGTGCTGGGATATCATTTTTAGGTTGCCTTAGCTGCTTGAGTGAGACAAGTTTCTTTCTGTGGTGGTGGATTGTGGCAGAAAAAAAAAATCATGCATGACTGGGAGACTCGCCTGCCTGATTCTTGAGATAATATATTGAGAATCTGTTGCTTTACAAATGTCACATCACTGATGTAGCGGTCAGCCCCTCACTCTGAAAGATGAATTGTACTATTGGAAATGCGATAATAAGGTTGACTTTTCCCAACAATAGGATTCTGCCTTTGTCTTTAGAGAAAAGGCCTCTGAGGACATTTGTGCATTTGTTTGAGGATTCTGTTGAAAGACTTTAAAGTGGAGGTTTGTGGAAAAGTGATCAATATACAAAATGCATGAATTTTTAGCCTAGCAAAACCAGCTAGTTATTTATACTGTATATACAGCTACTATTTTGGAAAAGTGGCCAGAATACCTTTTAATATACCTAATGTTAATTTATGGTTCAATAAGTGTACTGAGGTTAGTATGGATGGGAGAAAAGGGTTTTTAAAATTTTTATCTTTTATAACCTCCAGAGAAATCTAAGTAAATATTTTGTTCCAAGTGAGCTGTTTTTATTTGTGTTTGTCAGCATTGTCTTAATGTTTACTTTTCACAATATTTTAATATTGGTGAAATTGCACTCAGAGTTTATGTTGTTGATTTGGGGCACACATACCTACTCTGTGTATATATGCTGAACCATTTAGAACACTTTAACCTGTGAATTCACCCTCAGTACACAGTTCAACAGATACTGTAGTACTATTGTGACTCACAGGACATTTTATACATTTGCTAAAGAAATTACTTTAAAAGTTTACTTAACTGAGTATTGTTCCACCTTAAGGAATTATAGTTTTAACATTTGTACTTTTCTATTTCATGTATTTTCATTTCTAATAGCTGAACGTATTCATACTCAAGTCTAATGGATTATGCAGTGTACCCAACACATATTGTTTTATGATGTATCTGTATTTTCTGAAGTGTGAATATATATGTATGTTTATATGTGTGTGTTCATGAAACAGCATCTTGGACAGAATAGTTTTAATCTTGAAAAATGTAAGGTTATTTTCTTTCCTAATAATTTTTCACAAACCCATTTATTCTTGGACTTTGAAACCCAGAAATATAGCTTATTTTTTGGTCTGTATGTCTACTCTGCCTAGTTCTGTCTCACTGTCAACTCTAGTCAAAGATTAAAGATTACATTGAATTTTGTATTTGGTAATATGTGTTACCACTGTGTATTTATTGAAGAACAAATTGATTAAATTATGAGTTAAATAAATAGTGACACATTAGTCTTTTGCATAGGTGTGAAGCATGAACTTCTCAGGTAAGCCACTTAAAAAACCCAAACCAGAACAAAAAATACACTACTGAAGGCTTGGTAGTGTAGAGGTTGTTAAATGTGTAAATAGGCAGACAAACTGTATACCTCACCATACACTTGCTAAATGTCTCTTTGCAAATCTCTTAAGAGGCCAAAGAAAAAAAGACATCCCTTTGAAGGAGAGAAGCAAAATCACTTATTTAGTTAAGCAAAATGAACACTCTGCACAGGTTTTGAAATGAGGCTGTTGTCAAAAGCATGTTTTACCTTTCTCTAAAGGGGTAGGAGAATGTGTTTTAGTGGATTTTTAAAAATTCAGATCATGTTCCTATCCAACTTGAAAAATAAATTCATTTAAGTAAATCATTCATCATCCTCAGTTTTGAAAAGCTCAGACAGAAGGCAGAAAGGTAGAGGCTGACAGCTGCCCCTCCCTTACCCCCACCATTTTTTTTCTTTTTGTTTATTAGGAAATAGTTTTCTGAGACAAACTTGTATGAACCTAGTTCACGGAGCAAGCTTAATCCCCAACTTGCTTGCTTTTGAAATGTTGGCCATGTTAGCTGGAGAAGGAGCATTACTTACTAAAAATCAGCAATATCTGGAAATAATAAAGTTAAATTGTAGATGAATTAGCACATTAAAGTGCTTTTGTTGTACCTTTAAGCCTACAGGCAGATCATTAAATATGCATTTCGCTAGAAAGCAACTGTCTAGAAAGATAAGGTGGTTGAAAATATTCTACGGTGGAAAAGCCCTCCATCAGAGAGGTGGCACGGTTCGGCCCTCAGGATGGGAAAAGAAGGACCCTCCCACTGTTAGTTTAGGTTTGCAAGCCTCCAGTGACCTGCAGTTGTTACAGTACTTTTGAGCTGGGAGGAGGGAAAAGGTAAAAATACAAGTATGGCTGTTGTTGCTTCAGCCGGGCCTTAATTACCAGACACAAGAAGCAGTTCAGAAATCTGGTCTCTGTTGTTGTAGAGGTCACCAAATCATTAACATCGTCAATCTGGCAGTAGCTAATTTAAATAGCACCTGATGTTGCAACGCCTCCCTTCGTTTCCCCAGCCAATCAGATCCAGGCTTCGGCTGACAGATGGTCCCATAAATGGATGTAAAAAGGGGAAGCTTCGAGCCAATTTCAGCAAGGCTCTGTTCAGTTGTTCTTATCTACATCCTAGAATCGGGGGTTTCAGCTCACTGCTCCTTTTCTTTTTTTTCTTTCTCTCCCCCGCCCACCCCCCCAAAAATAATTGATTTGCTTTACAATCATCCACACTGTGTTTTGTGGATCTTTAATTATATATAACAATAGTAGTCATTTTAAATATATATTCTGAAATCTTTGCAAATTTTAACAGAAGAGTCGAAGCTCTGCGAGACCCAATATTTGCCAATAAGAATGGTTATGGTAGGTATGACTAGATTTATAATCTGTTGTTTGTGTTGCTGGAGGGAAGAAAAGCATCTACACCTTGACCAGTCTTATGCTTGCACAAGAGTTTAGTTCTGTGCTGCTGTTTGGTTCCTACATTTACTATCTCTTTTGTGTAGAGAGTGCGGGTAGGTCCTTTTATTGAAAAGCAATGGGGATATAAGATTGTCATTTTTAGCAAGTCGTTGTCAGTTTTCCCTTCAACATAAAGGCAAGGGGTGGAGGGGGAGGGCTGAAATAATTGCTGGTTTATTGAAAGAGGTTATATTACTTGAGACATAATGGCAAAAGAAGGGTTTTCTTTTTTGTAAGGGAGAGGGGGTTTGTCTACGTGCCTGGGTTTTGTGGGGCTGGGGGTGGATGCAGCGGGGTTAGGAATCTCTCAATTTCCGTGCTGGAAATTTAAACCTCGAGAGGCAGCTCCTGGATACTGAACACTGAGATGGGCAGTTGTGTTTCGGGGGACTGCGCAGTCAAAACGGCAAAGAGAGTGATTTATTTGGGCTTCAGTAAATGCTGCATCTTGTATTTCAAAGAGTTTCCTGTCATGACCTCATAAAAAAGAGGAGGCGGCTTGTATGTGTAGCAGTGCCTGGCGTGTTGAGTTGTTGCTTCCTTCTCTGGGCAGCAGCTCTGTAAGAAGGAATGTCAGCTTTTACATAACGTTCCTTTCCGCTTTTGACACACTGTGTGAGGGTCCATCTTCTTCTGATCACAGATGGAGTGGAATGGCTTGAAGATGGTAAGTGAAAAGAGGAAGGCAGCCTGGAGGTCCCAGCCCTGTGTGTGTGTGTGTGTGTGTGTGCTTGTATGTGTGTATGTGTAAGGATGCTGGACTGTGCATCGTAAATCACTGTGCTGATCGTTTGTGTGTGTATGTATGTGTGTGTTTATTAGTATTTCTCTTTTCTGAAAACCAGAATCCATCTCCAAGTGTAATGGCACTGCATGCACACAAGGCACACACACTGCCTCTTCCAGCAAACACACATTTTAGCCAAGGAAGGTTGGTGTCTTTTTTGACAATCAATGTCACCGTCACTGTTGGCTGGCGTGTCCACCGCCTCTGTGAGCCTTCAACGGAATTACACGACTGCTAAAGTTAAAGGCACATTTCTTTTTCAGTCTCATGCTAGGAGTGATGGGGAAGGATGGGAATGAGGGGTGGAGGAGGTGAGATTCAGTACCAGCCGATGCAATTGTGAAACAGGACTTTCGGATGTGGAAGGGGAAGTGGAAAACCTTTCTGCCGAAGTAGTAAATCTATTTTTAGCATCATCTTTTTCTGAAAAAAGAAGCAGGGAAACTCCTTGAGTGCCGCTTCTGTCGCCTGATGTTGACCCTGAAGATATGGCACAAAATGGCATGATTAGATGCCACGAGTGCCCACTTTGACTTTGAATTTTCACCAGCAATAGGTTTCACAAGGTTTCAGAGCTGGGTATGGGGGCAGGCTGTAAATTCATAACCATCTTACTTATTTTTCCCTAGAAAAGCCTGGGGAGGACTTTTTGCTCTGCATAGATGTTATAACAAAGCTGTGGTCTTTTTCCCATTCTTAGAGGATTGCCTTTGTCTGGCTGCTTGTTTTGATGGGTGTAAAACAAATAAGATTAGACCGAGCAGCCCAACTGAAAGCGATAGCTGGGAGGAAAACCCAATGAAAGGTTGCCGGGGAAACGAACAGAGGAGAAGCCGAGTAGGGAGCAGGTGGCTATCATGAGAACACACTGCAAACAGTGTAAAAAAAAAGGGGAGGGGGACAGGACCTCGATTATCTTTGCTGTTCTTTGTGGCCAGCCCAACTTTAATTATTCGTTATTAATAGGTGTTAATTACATTTCTAACTCTGGTTTACAGTGATTTTTAGAAATCTATTTTTAAGCATCTGTTCTGTCTCCCCTGTTTTTGTGTGTGTGTGCGTGTGTGTGTGCGCGTGTGGTTTTTGTTGTTGTTGTTGTTGTTTAAAAAACCCAGAGAGGAGGTGAGGGGGAAGGGAGGGTAGGGAATCTTGCTTTTTTTTTTTTCCTTTTTCCCCCTTTTCCCTGGTGTGAAATTGTACATGCGAAAAATCGCAAGGAATCCTGTGAGACCATTTGAAAAAATGTAAATTATATTGAATGAAGTTGACGGAAGCATAATAGTGAACTCCCACAGCTGATAGGTTCTGCAAATGATTTCTTAGAAATTTCCAGCAAATATTCATAGGAAAAATATAGGTAGAATAGATCTACCCTAAGCAATGATTTGGGGTTAGGTGATTTTGGTATTTTTACTAAATCGGATGTTGATACTATAGTTTCAGGGGAATTCATTGTACCTCTCATTTTTTTCCTCAGTAGAAATTACTTTACAAAATAATAAATGAAGAGCTTTTTGCTTTCCTTCTTTCCCCATGCCCACAGTCACAGGATCCATCAGGCTTGCACTCTCATAACCACTGCCTTCCATTTGGCATTTGGTCCTGATTCTGGTCTTGGCACAAACTGAGTGAAAAGCTGATTTTTATATTAGTGTCTTTGGACGTCTGGGACCCATGTGTGCACTGGGTGACAAGCATCTCTCTTTTTTCTCTAAATGTGCTTTACTAATAGTCTCTTTTTCTCATGATGGTGGGTACCATAAGGATTGAAAGGTGTAGTATTTGGGTGAACAGGAGATAGCGTAAAAACAATTGAAATGGTGATCTGTTAGGGTTTTTTACTAAAGGACAAAATAGATGCATGATCAGGGAGCTAATTGTAAGCCCAAAAATGAGAGATTTAAAAATGCTGAAATACACTAAAAGATTAGGAAATATAATTGGCTTTATTGAAAGTACACTTAATTTTTGCTCTCTTCATTGCAAATCCCCCCAATTCTTTTTTCCTTGCAGATGCGTCTTTTTGTTTTCTCTTCTTATTAGGGGATTTAAAAATTTTATTTTCACTCTTGAGGTAAAAATAAATAAACTTGTATTTTTTGTCATACACTTGAAACTTGCGGCCATATGTTGAGTGCATAAGCCTGTGTCACCTTTAAAAAAATAGAATTTTTTTAAGTCTCCAATATAGTTTCTTTTTTTATTTTCTGAGAATTTTCTGGCAATTTTTAGTTAGGGGAAAATAATTTCTGTAAGAAGTGTCATCTTGGCTTGGGTTGTAAAAAAGACACGTGGTTCTGATGCTGACCTTTCTCGATCCTTTGTCTTAAAAATATTAATGCCTACTACCTTCATGTGGAGTTGTGCTCTTATGGAAGCACAAGGCTGAATGTGCATTTATTAAGAAGTGAAAATCCAATTGGAAATATTTCTGCAAAAAACATCTGACTAAGTAGCAGTTTTAATGATCAGAATGTCCATATATCTCATAGTAACATAACAGCTAAATCATTTAATATTTAAATTTTTGAAAGGGTAAAATTAACATAGATGAGGAAGTAGCTGAAAAATTACTTTGAGAATTGTTGATTTACAAGACAATTTAATATCTCATTTTTTAAAAAGCTAACAAACAACTTAACCATTCATTTGTGATCTCAGTCCCATTCATTTTTACCTGCCATTCATTCAAGTCATTCTCCTGGCCAGATGTAGATGGCCTTGCTTCTGTTTGATGGTTTGCACAAAACCTTAAAACTTTTTCTCTCCCAATACTCCTTCCTTGGTCCTTTGAAAATTAGGGTGTTGTTATGAGAGGAAGGCCAGATTGTTGTGAGATAATAACAATAGAATATTTAGAAAGAGAGAGAGAGAAAGAAAATGAACTGCGCATTTGCCTTTTAGTTCTAAACTTAGTCTTGAAATTGGATTTGGGACACTTTGGACTTCAGATATTTTAAACTTAGGATTTCTATTAGGTATAAGCTATTTGAAATTTCACATCTAGAAATTATTGTTTGAATGGTGCTTTGTATGTGTGTGTTCAATATCTCTAAAAGGACTTGTGGATGAATTGAGATGTTTTTCTCAAGTTAGAGTTACTGTGAACAACAATGGGATTTCCTCAGAGTAAGTCTTTTTTTTTTTGGTTTGATTTCTTCCCTTTACACTTATTTCCTTATTATAGGTGGGTTCTTTTCCTATATGTAGGCCAAATACTATTTCTTCCATGAGGAGATATGCTGCTTCATTTAGCCCTGAGCATCTTAACACCTTATTTTAATTTTTTTAAAAAAAGAAACAAATTGTCTGTATGTACCTCAAGTAAGAAATGGTTGTCTTCATAGAGGTCATCATACATAGACGAAAGTACTTTGGCCTTGACAAATTTCTTCATTAGCTCCAATGATCTGTGGCCACCAGGCAGTTAATTTATATGCCTAGACATTTAATATGTACATTTGTTGGTGAGCTGGCCAGAGGATGCTAAACACACGAGTATGCGCTGGCAAATGCTGCAATGCAGTATTTTTTTCCCAATGTCATTGGGAATTTTGGGGCTAGGAAGGGACATGAACATTTTCAAGCTTTTATCTTACTATTGTCCAGTCGATGGGCCATGTTGTACAGATTTGGTCAATTCTCCTTTTGAAAGTAAAGTCAACCTTTTATTTACCACTATCCATTCCCCCATCCATGTAATGTATATGTGGAAAGTGTGTGTGTGCGAGAAAGAGAAGCAGAGAGACTCTGTGTGTATCAGTATAAGTGTGTTGCAGATTCCTGCACCTGTCTTAGGCTTTCCTTATTTGGTATTACTAAACATGTATACACACTTACTTGCAAGTATATGTGCATCTATAAATGGAGAGAAAACCAAACTGGGCTGCTTCCCATAAGAACTGGTTTCTCTTCATGACTCCAAGAGTTCTCATATTAGAAAAATATGAAATTTCAAATATTCATTAAAAAATATATATTCAGACCCTGCAGTCTGTTAGTAACCAAACACCTTTCTTTAGCTGCCACTTAAGAAATTATAAGTGTGCAAATGCATAACAATGTTTGTGAGCTAAAAGCCATCCCTTCAATCAAGGGCCTGGGTATGAATTAAAATGTGTGTATGTGAGTGTATATGGATATGTGTATATGTATGGGGGGCGGTGGGCAGGATGTTTTTCTTTGAGGGCATTTGAACCTAGTCTTTACCATTGGTAAAAATAAGGAGGCGGTAAGATGGAAGTGTTAACATCTGTGCTTTGCTTTGTAAGTTGGTGTGCAAGTGTGTGTGTATTAGGAACATCCTTATATTTGTGAAATCTCCACGTATTTTAGGGGTAAAGGGCTTTTATAGGTCACTGGCTTTCTAAGGGTAAAAAAAAAAGAAAAGGTGATCTGTGGGTGGGTGGGAGTCACAAGCAGTAATTGTCTTAAATTAGCTATTTAGCAGTGAAAAGGAAAAAAAGGCTGGAAGACAAGAGTGTAGAAGAGTACCAACATGTGGGTCTGCATCTTTCCGGTATAGGAGATAATGAGTGATAAATTTGAACTGGTGCAGTGCAAGATGCCCGATAATTTCTCTGAACCTTGACTTTGCAGGTCCATTACTTCCTTGCTTGCTTGTTCACACCTTTAATTATATCCAGTTTGGGATGCTAGCTGGGGGCACCACAGATAAGCCATTTTGTTTGTTGTTTACTTCATTAAGTATTCAGGCAGTGTATTCACAGTAGCTTTGGAGCATCAGTGTTAGGAATTGAGCAGTTTGGAAATGGAATTGTTAAAAAAGAACAAAAAAATAAGACAGCAATCAGCCAGCTAGCTTGCTTTGGATGTTCACATCCACTCTGCTTAATGGTAATATTTATGCTTTCCCTTGCACATTAATTAAGAAATAACTTACGCAGTGTCAGGGCTCTTAATAGGCTGGTGACTTTCTCTCTCTTTCTCTGTCTCTGTCTCCGTCTCTCTGTCTCTCTCTCTCTCTCTGTCTCTCACTCTAGCTCCAGCTGTCTCTTTCTCTCCACCCCACCCTTGAGACTGTCTTTGCTCAGAACATTTTAAGACCAACCAATTTTGCTTTAGGGGAGCTCATATTCAGATCCTTGTTGTATCTAATACCAAAGGTATTTCTCCCCTCAATAAAGATCCCCCTCTACAAGGATCAAGAAATGCTGAGAGCCCTAAAGGAATCCTTAAATAAATTTTGGTTGAGAAAGCAGTAGAAGTGTTGAGGAAATAAGGTCAGTGTAATTTTTGTGCTTGCGTTTTTGTTTTTTGTTGTTTTTGGAAAGTCTTATTTTTAACCCCAAAAGTAAAATGCAAAACTAGCATATGGGATTTTTTTAATGAAAAAAATATATATGTCTTAGGTCTCTCCTGAAAATAACCTCCCTTGGACTCTTCATTTGAAAAATAACATGTAAACTTTAGCTTAATTTTTGAATTACTCATTTTAAACTATAAAATATAGTTCATAAATATTTTTTCCATAGGAAGTTTAGTTCTTTTTTCAGGCTATGGGGAAGCAGAGAAATGACCCAGCGAAGATGGTGAATTCTGAAAAAAACACAGCATGGAGGTTTCCTCTGTTTGCACTTCGTAGCATTGAATCTTCTCCTGCTTCTATGAGTTATCCTTTAGCCCTTAAAGTTGTTTTGCCAACAGTGTTCATAATAGAGACTGACTGTCATTCCTTGTTGGGTGAAGATGTATTTGTTGAGGACTTACTATGTGCATTTCTTTGGAACGTGGAATCCAAGGTCACCATTTCTTTTTCTTTTGACAATGATCAGAAGACATAATTAATTAGAGGATAAGTCCCTGTGATTGGAGATGAAGTTAGGGTGAGGGATTTTTAAGGTGGCACATTGCACAATGAGGTTTGTGTCAAATAGTAAGAAAAGGTCTGCTGGAACATTCAAGTACATAAATGTCTTTCCTTCTGTATTTATAAGCATCTAGGTGTGACTCCAAAAGATAGAAATAAGAGATCTTTTGGACATTTTAGTCTATAAGGTTTCATGTGTCCACATCTTCAGCCTCAGGAAGAAATATAGAAGTTTGGACTGTTGAAAGGAACTTGTCTTTCAGTCAGCAGCCCATGAAGCTTGGCTGAAACTGGTTAATTTTACAGAAACACGAATGTCTTGCCTCCTTGCTTCTGATGTAAGTGGCTTTTTGAATTCCTTTTCCTCTGTTACCTCCCAGGAGCATCTGAACAGATAGTGACCGTTTTGGCATGCCAAATTGGAAGTTTGCTAGTGGAGCAGAAATCATAGTTACTTTGTCATATACATCTAAATACTGTGGTGTGTGTGTGTGTGTGCGTGTGTGTGTGTGTGTGTGTGTGTGTCATGTGTTGTAGACAGCTGGGAGCCCCGGTGTGCCGTGGGATGTGCCAATAATGGCTTCTAAAGTACTCTGTGTTTTCCTAAGCTGCCAGTCTAAACCCTTTAAAGGTTTGCTTTCTAATTTGTACATGAAAAATAACAGGCTGAGTTGAACTTTTTTTTTCAAGTGCCCCCTTTGAAGATGCAGCAGTAGTAAATACTGCTCTAATGATAAACTTTAGTTCTAAGTGCTACTTAAAAGTCTGTAGTAGAAAGGCTGAGAACTTGCCATCTTTACTAATGAAGCTTTCCTTAGGAAAATGCTCACTTAAAAGGGAGTAAATGACCAAGTCCCTGAAATTTGTGATTTTTACCAGATTTGACTTATCTTTTCTTATTTTACTTTTTGTAATGCAGCCAACCACACATCCAAAATTCTTGGTATTATACATGTCTTCAACATTAATTATCTCTGTTGATGCACTGGGTACAGATAGTACAGTTCCCACAAGTCCAGATTCTTACTGTAACACCAAAACAAAAGTGATATTTATGAATAATATTGGGAAAGTTGTCCTCATAGTAACCATTCCCCAAAGGAAGCTTTACATAAATGTGCACTTATTATTCAGGATATTAAAAGGGAATCGTTAGCTTTTACTTTTTAATTTGGGCTAAAATATGTAAATTGGTTTTATTTTGGAGTTTCTCTGTTTTAGGTGACTTTGGGGGAGGATAACTTTCTAGCTTGATTATATTTTAATCACCTCTCTAGTGGAAAAGTTAATCTTAAAAGCAACCTGCTTATTGTGATTAGGACCCAGAGGGCCTGTGTTCAGATGGGGCTAAAAACATATTATATTGACCTGTACACACGTAGAAAAATTAGATTTATTTCTACTAGATACCGCTATTACCATGCCTTTGTTGGCAAGGCTATCTCAGAGACCAGAGAACCGTGAGTCTGCCTCTGGCCTCCGAGGAACATCACGGTGTGCCTGTACAGGCAAGCCTCTAAAAAGATTGTTCTTTGTCTTAAGAAACTGGCAAGTGCAAAGGACTTCAGAGTCAGTTGAACTTAAGTTGGAATCCTAGCTCTTCCAGTTACTAACTGGGCAATCACAGATGAGTTACTTCAACATGAGCCACAATTCCTCATCTTTAAATGGTGATGACAATATCTAACTCACAGGGTTTCTGCAAGAATCAGATGAGAAACAGTATTTGAAGGCACCAGTCATACATAGGACTTGAAAATTGAAGGTGCTTTGAGGGTGTTAAGTCTCTTTCAGTCTGTCAGTCTTTCTGTCCCTTGGCAAAAGCCCTTCCCCAGAAAGAGGCCCATCTGCCCATGCCAGATGTCCTGGGCAGTGACATTGTATGCTACCCTCACTGTCTCCATACTGTCCCCAGCATGCAAGAAGGGTGGCACACAGTGTTGTTGTTTTTTTCTATATAGACAAGCCCTCAGTTCTTCCTCGGAATTGTATGGCTTTATTAAGTTTTCTGCATCCTCCTAGGATTTCACAAGCTGTATCCATGATCTCCTTTGGAATTAGAATTCACTTGGGATTTAGTTGTCAAAAGAGAAAAACGATGAAGATAAAATTAATTTTAACCAGTGCTGTTTTTTTAATTTCATGAAAGAGCCTGTTAGGAAAGTTAAAAGTCAGCCAGAAAGAAAATAAAAATAGGCTGAGCTTAATTGATATGGTCCCATCTTTGCTGTCTGTATATTGTAACTTGCAAATTATTTGACTTTTTCCCAGAAACCAACTTACTTCAGATCTATTTTTTTTCCTTTTCACTGTATCAGCTGTTTTCCTCCTTTCCCCTTGTTTTCCCAATAGGCTGAACTTTGAAGTTCTGTTTCTCACGGAATGGTGAAGAGGTTGAGGCAAAAAGTGGCTTAATGAGATTTTTGTAACTTGCCATCAGTTTTCCTTCTGCTTGGCAAGGCAGCATGATGGATGGCTTTGGCAGTGTGAACACCTCTAGAAGTGATCAGATTGACTGAAGAGATGTGCAGGATGTCAGCAGAATGCTGACCCTCAATTCATTACCCTCCCATTTGAAGGAAAAAAAAAGAGAGAGAGAGAAAAGAGGAAAACAACCACAAAAGCCTTGGCGTAGTTGTTGATTACACACACTTGGGAAGGGGTAATGGGTCGCGTCAGGACTGGTGTTAGGTTAAACCTAATTTTGTACCTTTTCCCCAAGGGTCTGAAGGGGGAAATAAATAAATAGGCACCATAAATTAATTCACAAATTGTTCTAAATGGGGACCTGTTGCTGTGACCTGTTGCCGTTATGAAGAAATAATACAAATTGTCCTGAAGGGATTCAAGATTCAAATTGAAAACACAATCTTGAAACACCGATTTTGAATTCTACTTCATATGCTTACAGGAAGGATATAAAGGGAAGTCGATTTTTTTCTTCAATGTAATCCTTAAAGTAGGGGAAGGGGTTATTAGTTGATCTGATATCCCAAATGCCATTTTGCAGGTCCTATGCTAAAAAAAGAAAGAGAGAGAGAGAGAGAGAGGGAGGGAGGGAGGGAGGGAGAGAGAGAGAGAGACAGAGAGAAAGAAAGAAAAGAAAGGAAAGAAAGAAAGAAAAAGAAAGAAAGAAAGAAAGAAAGAAAGAAAGAAAGAAAGAAAGAAAGAAAGAAAGAAAAAGAAAAAGATCCTTTGCTATGGAACAGGCAGACAATAAAACTTTTCTCTTTCCATATGAATCTATTTTAAGTCTTCACCAAGAATCTTTGGAGGATTTTGCAGGTGTGTGTCTATACATATTGTATGTGATGTGCAAGCTCTCTGGAAGAATTTGGTTGGTTTTTAGACTGTGTTTGTATGGGCAGAAATATATCTGTAAAAAGCGGGAGGGACTTGATTTTGGAGAAGGGATGGTATAGAAGATGTTTGTCCATATTTTAGCCTTGGAAAATCTCATGCCTATTAATGAAGGACAAAAAAGAAATGATTTACTGATTTGAGCAGGCAAATGAGAAGGTTGGATATTCTTAGGACCTTCTTGCTAGGTAGGTGTTTGTTTATTTAAAAGTTAAAAATTCATCCATATTTAGGTCAATACTTGAATCTCAGTTCCTTCTTTTTTTTAGATTTCTGGCTGAAGTTTTTCATGAGAAGAAAAAAGACTTGGAGCTTAGAACTGCTTTAGTAAGAACTATTAAACAGGTCTCCAGTCATTGAATTTTGGAGGCATGGGCTTGCAGTTGGTATAATCTTAACAGTATTCTTCCTGAACTATCCCATGTCCATTTCCCAAGAACAGAAGAACAAGTTCGCATTCTAGAACTTCAGCTGTTCTCAGCATAGTTCTGCTTGTAACAGATCTGTGACCATAGAGATCATCTTTCATGTTCACTCAGCCTTGTATAATTTTTGCCCTATGGTGTCAGTTTGATCTCTTTAATGTAATTAGGGCAGGTACTGTTAACTCTTTTTTATAGAAAATAAAGCTTAGCCACTTGACTAAGCTTGCACGTTTAGTAATATCAGAAGTCTTCGCTCCAGAGTGTTTGGGAATATGTCCAGCTCAGCCAAAGTTTACTTTTCTTGGGGGAAAAATAAGGTAATTTCTCTTCTATATCAAATTTTTCGTTGGAGAATCAACAAATATATATATATATATATAGCATGTCTGTTGCATATAAACCATATTCTAGATGCATCCTGGAGCATCATAGTATTTAAAATATATTATAGTAAGCAAGGACAATGGCAAGCAGAATGATGTGGACAGTGTCTCAGCAGAGGAGGTACAATGTACAAAAGAGGGAGACATTAGTTCTTGTTGGGGGAAGGAGACAAGCTTCATGGAGGAAATGCCATTTGAGTAGAGCCAGGGAAACTGGATAGATGGAAAAATTAGAAGAAAGGGGAATTCCACATGGAGAGAATCATATGAATAAAGGCATAGAGATGGGAACTTACAAGGCCTACTTAAGAAACTGTAAGTAATCTGGTGTGAATGCAGCATATGTTGTGTAAAGATAAAGCTAGAAAGAGATAGGTAAAAGCTATGATTTAGGAAGGTTCAGTTGTTTTGACTTGGTTTTGACTTTGAATTGGTAGCTATGGAATGTCTTAGGTCAGAGGACTGTCCTTTCTTAATTCTTTTTCAGGGTCAAGACCTGTCTTTATTAAGCCATTATTTCTCAGAAGTTGAAGTCACCCTAAAGATACTTCTAAATTAGACATTGGTTAGGGGAATCAGCATTAGAGCACTCTTCTGGTCATAATGTGATGTTATGATGATGATGCTCATTGGTGAAGTCACATTAAGGACTGCTTTTAGGGTTATAGTGGCAGAAAGCAGTAGGAGGAAAAATATCGACTTTACTTCAGATTGTAAAGAAGTGTGCTATTAGAGGAGTACACTGCATTCTCTCACCAACAGGTCTCCAGTGCTCATTTTGTGGGATAATGTGTGGCCAGAGAGAAGATGGTGGTGAGTGGGGAATATGCTTATTTTCTCCAGTATAAAAATGTACCCACTTCAAACTTGCAAGTACACGTACCAAAGCATGCTTGTCTTGACTGGTCATCTGTTAGCCCTGGAGGGCATAGATCATGTCAAATCCTCTCTTACTTCAATGTCTAATACATAGTAAGTACTCAAAAAAAATGTTTATTGAATTAGGTTGTCATAATATGGCTTTTGTTGGGGGTTTTGTTTTTATCTCTGATTTTTAAAGAGACTGAACTACAGAGTTAGACTTGTGGATCTTGGATCTGTCATCAACTTCTAGGAGCCTATTTAGCCCAACTAACATAACCTTTCTGACCTTCAGTCTCTTAATATGTAAAACAGAATGAATACAACTTCATGGCTTAATGGGAGGATCCATTGAATTGTATCCTTGATACACTCTATTGGACAGGATAATAATATTAGTAAGTTACTAGATTCTAGTTTTACCTATGGATAGTTTATTGGGTCTCGACCGGCATTAAAAATTAAAACAATGGAATGATAGAATTGAATGAAATAGAAAAGAAAGTATCATTGGGTGGTACTTATTAAGGGTTAGTATTATTTCATGAATCTTTGCTTCAGTTACCTATGTTATGAGTTGTGATATGAAGCTGTGGTGTTCCATATGGTGTTCAATATGTTCCTTACTTTTTTATTTTACTTTGTTGGGTCATGGTCAGAAAAGTTTGAGAAATACTGGTCTAGATAATAGTGAGCTCTGTATTATACAAAGGAAAAATAACAGTCAGCTTTTTTAGAACTATGCAATGCAAGATCTCTAGTATCTTCTGAGTTATTAAAGAAAGGATGACTTCTAGTTGTTTTAGATTTAATATGAAGCATCATATCCTACATCTTTGATAACTACTGATGTCTGCATGATATATGTTGGGGCTCTTTATTAACCAAAGTATTTATTAACTAGGAAACCTTATGCCTTGGTTGTGCTACATAGCAAAACCTGGAATGTAATAATAAAAGTGACAATAATCAGTAGTGAATGTGACCTAGAGGTGGGACTAGAAATAATAAGATTAGTTTTCATTTCTTGAGCTCTTGATATGAGTCAGACACTGTGCCTTACAAACACCATCCCTTTTAATCCTTAGAACAAACTTAAAAGGTAAATGTTAATTTCTCTATTTTATGGACAAGCTAACTGAGGTTTTGGTGGGTAAATTACAGCCAGTAATTGGTTGGGCCAGGATTTGATTTGAACCCAGATTTGTCTGACTCCAGAATAAAATTTCAAAAATTTATTCAGTTCCATGAAAATGTATTAAAGTGCCTACTATGTGTTAGCTCTGTACTCCTCTACAAAGATAAGTCAGTCTCTGTCCTTGAGGCTTTACTAGCTGCCCTTTGTATTTTACTATGTAAGAAGATGAATAAGGATTTATTTTATCACAGCAGGAGATAGGACAGGCACATAGAGTACTGTATATTTTACTTCAGAAGTGTTAAGAAAAGTGCCTGACACACAGTAGGCATTCACTAAAGATTTATTACATTGAATTGAAGTTGGATTAATTCTCCTCTAGGGATTAGGGAACCTTTGTACTAAAGAAACACTGTACATTTTTATATGTTTAGCTGTATATGCCTAGTGGCATGGGTATTCTTACCTGCAATGTGGGCAGATCCATCTGTCCCAAATCCATTCAGTGCCTTTTGGAGCTCCTAAAACTGGCAGCACAGAAAAGCCAACAAGAGCTCAAGAACTCAAATTGTAAACTTCAAGTTTCATTCAGCCAGAGAGAACATTTTCCATCTTAGTGTGAAAAGCAAATCCCATGGCAGAGACATTTGGAGAATGATAAATGGAAGGTGGGCTTCCTTAGAATGGAAAATTGTTATTATCATTGTTAATGTTATTTTTACAATGCCATTTACTAGCTTTATAAATTCAAGCAAGTTATATTACCTCTCTAAGCCTCAGTTTCCACATTTTTAAAAGGATTAATACCACTCAGGATTGTTAGGATTAAATAGACCCATTTGATAAAAACTTACTGAGACTTACTATTTGGTAGTCTGTAAATATGTAGTAGTAAAGGAGACATGGCCCCCCGTCCTCAAAGAGCTGAATATCTGGTGAATGTGCTGTGAGAAGTGGGATTCAGACTCCCACCACCTGCACAGGTCACTATTGATAGGATGCAGCACTCTACAGTCCTCCTTGGGGTATGTATATATTGTCATATACATGTCTCAATTGCATCATCAGAATTTCAAGTTTATTGAGGGTGAGTGAGCTCAAATATTCATCTGTTTATCTCCACCTACCCCTAAGTTTCATCCTTGCCTGTTGACACAATGTTACCTTATACAGTAGTTGCTAGATGAATCCAGCCCAATTCAGCAAATATTTACCAAGTGGCTCAGGGTACAGTGCTGGGAAAGGGAGGGTAACATTTGCTGAACAGAGTTGAATTTAAAACAACTTTAGAGCATAAAAGGGGAACAGTGTCATGAAGTGGTGATATACTACACTAGTGCTAAAAATACCTGTGATCTACTCAGGAAGAAATTAGGGCTCTAAAGAAAATTCGGCAGTAAGCCTAAAAATAATGTATTTTTTCACTCTCCCAGTGCTGTTTTGTTTGTGTTTCATGGAGAAACAGTGTATTTGCTATAAGCACACAATTAAGATGAGATTTCAGAGATGGCTACTTAATTCATCTGTGGCTCAGGACCAAGTCTAGGTAGCTTCACAAAACCCAGGAGCCCCTCTGTGGCCAGACTCCTCTCCTTTCCAGCCTCCCATCTTGGGTCTCTTTGCCTTCTGTTCATGCTCCACTGTAGAACTGCACCACGGTGTTCCCTACTGTTGCTCACACAGATCCCTCGGTCTCCAACATCTTTCTGCTTTCTTCACCTGGCTTCATGAGACAAATAGGAGGCCTGTGTCACCCAGAAAGGCTTGCCTTAACTCACTGTGGGTTGTAGCCATCTCTGTTAACACTGCCAGCATCATTCCATCATTGGTCTTCCACACTCCATAATCAAATGTTTATTTTTCTAGGTTTCACCACTGCCTCAACAATCAGCACTGAGTTTATCTTTATGCTTGGCACCAAGTAGGTGCTCAGTAATTGATTGTTAACTGATGTAGTCAGATATTAATTAGGTGTTTCATAATGTGTTCCCATCAGGTGCCCCCTAGCTTATGAGTGGGATATTGGACCCAAATCCCCCTTGTTGTGAAGACTGGTTTTGACACAGCTATTGCTCACCAACCCCAGTTCTGTAACTTTGAGCTGAAGATCTTGAGTATATCTATTTACATTAAACTTTTTCCCTGATCACCATGACTCACCTGTAATTCCTCAGTAATTCTTCTTTCCTCTAGACTCCTTTATGTCACTTGCTGTCTGTACCACGCAGTTAACAATGACACATCACAATAATAGTGACCCTTTATGTAATGTGTGTGTCAGACTTTGCAGAAAGAACTTTACTTAGGTTATCTCATTAAATCTCACAACGATTCTAAGAAACAGATATTTTTATTCCCATTTTGAAGAAAGAGGACAACGTAGTTTAAGTAACTTGTACAAGGTTACATGGCTAGGAAAATATCAGACTGGGAATTTAAAACCTAGTTTGTTTCATTCCAAAGCCCATGTTCTGTCTCCTATTTTATCTTACTCATCCCTTAAAAGGTAGGAATTAATGAGAAACATTTAGCCTAGTGGTTATTAATAGGGATATTTTTGAGATAGGGTCTCACTCTGTCACCCAGACTGCAGTGCAGTGGTGCAATCACAGCTCACTGCAGCTTCAACTTCCCAAGGAAATAGAGACTTTTGATCAAGACTACCTGGATTCAAATCCTGGCTTTATCAGTTGTGACCTAGGGGAAATCATTTCCACTCCCTATGCCTCAACATTTTCATCTGTAAACTAGGGTTGTTGTGAGGATGTGATGGACCAATGAATATTAAGGATTTAAAACAGTTACTTGGCATATAAAGTGATAATGATCATCATCATTATTGTTATCATACAATATTAATTTGTGTCCCATTCTTCAAATTTTTGTTGAGTGCCTGCCAGACACTGTTCTAGGTAATGGTGATAGCAGTGACTAAGACAAGTCCTTGCCTTTATGGAGCTTTCATTTTAGAGGAAGAAGACAGAGAATAGAGTAAGTAAGTAGTAAGTAGAACATGGCATAGTAGTGTGTGCCTGTAGTCCTAGCTACCCAGGAGGCTGAGGTAGGAGGATCACTTGAGCCCGGGAGTTTGAGGCTGCAGTAAGCTGTGATCACACCACTGCACTCCAGCTTAGGTGGCAGAGACTCTGTATCTTTATTTAAAAAAAAAAAATAAAAGTAGATATTATATATTATGTCGTGTTTTATAATTTCACATAGTGAAATGATGTTTAAAAAATAAAAGATGCTAGATTAGAGAGTTACACTAACGAGTCCTTGTTTGTGGCACACAGTGAGGCCACAATAGTTCAGCCAGTGCCTTGCTTCTGCTTGATGAGCTGGAACCGTCAATGCCCTACTCTGAAAGGCTGAGCTTCATATGTCCAACTACTAACTCTTGGAGACAGGCTTGCCTGACCTGCATGTGGTGTAAGGTGGTCATCTGTGGAATGATTGGACAATTGGACTGAGGTGTCTGAGCCTCAGGAAAACTTAAGATAGAGAACTCATAAAGAGGCCAGGGGTCCCAGCCTTTGAAGAGAGGTCCTATTCTGTGAAATGGGACAAATGTTCCAGGAGGGTCAGGAGGAGGATTTGGCCAATCATTCAACTAAGAACAGGGTCAGCCAGAATGTCTTCTCAATTAAGGCTGTTAAGATCTCCTGATGGCTCCTTGCAGGAGCCTGAACCTAGAAGGTGAGTTAGCCTTGGCATTATCATAGGATTCTACCTTTCCATGAGTGTTCTGCTGGTTAAGGGCATCTTAGGAGTCTGCAAAATGGGGTGTTTTTTTCCTTCACTTACTTGTAGTGGGGTCTTGGTAAAGTCATTAGCCTGTCTGAGCCTCAGTTTCCTTATCTGTAAAATTGGGCTAATAATACCTTCCTCCAAAGCTTGTTTAGAAGATGAACTAATTAACATGTGTAAAGAACCTGAATCGGGGCCCGGCACCTAGTAGGCATCTAATAAAGGAAGATTTTTAAAATAAGCTCAGTCCCCCTAGGGTGTGCATTTTAGGTATTGGTAATTTATTTTGGGGCTCACAGGGAGAGAAGAGAAAAATGAGAGCTACTTCCCATTCTATAACTTTCAAAAAAGTGAGCAGATAATCTCAAAACCAAAGATATGTCATCTCAGAAAGGACTGTGAAGAAAATAAAATTAGATTTGCTGTAAATCAGTATGATTGAGACTGGTCTCTGTCAAAGACTGTGTTGGCCCCATCCTCTTGGTGTCACAGGCTTTTAGAGGCCTGGGGCTCTGTGAAGAAAAGCACTTGGTTAAAATGGCTCTGGAGTCTTAAATCCTGAGTCCAATTCTTTCTAGTAATAAGTTAGAGTATTTACTTTTTAGTGGGGGATGAAGGGGATGGATGATTTGGTTATTTTCATATGTCAAAAATTTCAAGGAAGGACTCCTGTGCTAACTGGAATTATACATAAACCTAATTGATGCTCTGGTGAGAGCAACTGGAAAGCACTAGTTTTAGAATGTAGACATAAACCTTTATGTATTGTATCTCCTGTCTCCATTGTGTATACTGTTACATAAAATTAAAGATTAAAATTAAACTTTTAAATTTCACTGATTAAAATCAATTTACCTGATTAAAATTAAGATTGAAGAGAAAGAGAGAAAAAAGCACAGTTTATTCTCATCCCAAACCTCCTTTGTTTTCATTAGCAATGTGTAGACCTGAAATTACCTTAAAAACAAAACAAAACTCCCCCATGAAACACATTTAAGAATAAAAGAATGATTTTCCAAATATTTGTCAATGCACTTTTTGTACAGGGCACTGAATGAAACTTTAAATATTTTTTTCCTCTTATGGTTAGTGACATGTTAGTATTGTGATTCACTCAGAATTTATTTGACCCCCTTGATCACTAGTTCACATTTGTTTTAATCTTGATGGCTACACTCATCTAAAATAAACAGAGCAGGAAGAGTAAGAGAACGCTTAAAAAAAAAGCATTTTAAAATAAAGAGTCACCCATTCCTCTTACGATTATCTCAGCATGCTGAGAAAGAAGCCTGATGGGTTGGAGATAAGGATGTCTCCTCCTATGTCCCCGTGTGCTCTGCCTCTAAACTCTCCTAGCACCCTGCACCTGCCTCTGATAGCTGATCCATTCAGTGGGCATTGGTTGAATTCCCCATGTACTGCCTGCTGGGAGTAAGAAGTCAACCAAAATTCAGGCCTTATTTTCAAGGCATTCCCTGTCAGTGGGGAGACAGGCAGGTAAAAAGCGACTCAATATAGGGTGGTAAGTACCAGGACAGAGGAGAGAGAGGAGTTGTCTGAAGCTATGTAGGTCAGGGAGGTGGACTCCAGGGAGTCTTGCAAAATGGCAGGGTAATTTAGATGGTGATGGCGAAAGCATTTCAGTGGACATATATGCAAAGACATGGAAGGGACATACTGCCAAAGGCATTCAGATTATGGTACTTGGCTCACTGCATCTGGAACTTTGTTTTCAAATGTCTACTAACCTTCCAAGACTAAATTCCTAGAGGGCAGTGATCAAGTGCCATGGAACTCAGTTATCCAACAGTAATAGATTTAATCTTTGCCACATTCCTGTGAACCACATTTCTGTGAAGCCTATAACATTATCCTATTGATATGCCCCAAGTTACATTTGGAAAACCGAGACACAGAATGGTTAAGTGACTTGTCCAAGGTCACACAGCTAAACAGGAATTTAAACCTGGGCAGTCAAGCTCTAGTGACTGTTTTCTTAACTATTATGCTATGCAATTAGTATTTAATAAATGTTTGAATTGATGTTAATTGAATGGATGTAGAAGTGATTATGTGATAATTTATTTATTCACTTATTTAAAAGAAATAACATGCCAGGCGTGCCCAGATCTAATAGTTGTTGCAGGAAAATGTCAAGAGCCCCCATTGGCTTTGGCTTTGGCTTTGGCTTTGTGACTTACAGAAACTCTTAAAGGTAGAAATGTTCTGCAGGGCTGTGAACCTCAAGATGGTACTTCAGATTTCAGCCAAATTCAGACTCAACGTGGAAATAAAATATGAGTTTAGGCCTGAAACAGAGGAGATCTAATTTCCTATGTGGAGATGAAGAAACAAAGGCTGTAAACATGGCCTTACTTGGAAAATGGAAGGCCCTAGGTTTTGAAAACAGCCTCTTGGGATAGTTTGAAGGAAGTTGAGTGAGACAACAATGATGAGGGCAATATAGCTTTAAAAGAATGAATTCACTCTTACTTTTGCATTGATTCTGAAGAGGAGAGATAAGCGAGGTTTATGGTGAGAGCAAAGTGGTGATGAACAGGCAAGGGAAGCAGATTTGGCTATAGAAAGCAGGTGAGGACCTAGAGAGTCATCCATTTATTCATTTATTCTACCAGCAAAATCATGAGCTCTGCGCTGTTCCCTGGGATTACAAATGAATCAAACACAGTCGCAGTCCTCAAGGAGCTCACAGTCCAGTGATAGAGAAAGATAGGAGGCTGGAGAGTTTCAATGCTATGTGGCACATGTCCGTAATGGAAATGTGTGTGAGAGACAAAGGTAAGAGCCATGATGGGGGATTGGAGAAGGGGCATGCTAGGTCTGATGGCAGAGAGAGGAGGGCTTTCCAGGCCAAGGGAGTGCTTATGTGCAGAGTGTGGCACAGGAGAGAACACAGTGTGTTCTGGTTTGTCATTGCTGGCTGCAGAAGCCTACAGAAGGCTGTGGCCTGGAATGTGCATTCCAGGGCTTATGGAACTTGTAGTGGGTAAAGAAGGAAGATGGGAGTCAGTGACCAGAAGATGTCAGTTCAGATCCAGGCTCTGCACCATGTGAATATTGGCTAGTTAGCTTTACCTTTCATTTGCTCCTTAACCCTTAGTTTGCTCACCTGTAAACTGCAAGTGATGGCAAGGGAAGACACCACCTATCTCTCAGGATCTTCAGGAAAATTAAGTGGGGTGGTGAGTGTGAACGTACTTACAAAATCCTCTGAGTCCAGCATGTAATTTAATTATTATAAATTATTATAAAAAATTATTTTATTATTTTGTAAGTGAGGGTTTTGTAAGGGCTTTGTAAGAGTCTCATTTCTTCAGGGGGAATGACACTTGCTCTGTTATCTCTACACTTCCCACCACACCTTTCTGACTGTGCCCTGGAAAAATCCTCTGGAAGTGCATTCTGTCAGTTTAGCTGCTTATTGGGGTATACAGTAAGAAAGGAGCAGTCCAAGTGGAGGATGGACCAAGAACAACCCTGCTCTTCCACCCTGAGTTTCCTTGTGGGGAGCCGGAAAAGCCCTCTGCTGTCAGTATGCAGAGTGCACTGTGGCAGTGATCTGAAATTTCCCAGGAAAACATGATGGTTTTCCTTGTAGGAAAGCAGAAACCCTAATGACTCTTATTAACATTTGAAGTACCTCACTTGGGCCATTCACAGTGGATGGCTTTTTGAAAGGGCAAAAGATACCAGAAATTGTGTTTGTAAGTGTCAAACATGCTACTTTCATTATTTCTTTTTTTAGAATCCACATAGCCCCTCCCCCTTTGCTATGTGTTTACTGGTTTGGCATTATTGTGAGAGCTTATTAGTGGATGTTTGTGGAGCATTGTGAAGATGAATAGCTATTGGCATAGGTGATGAGTAGTAATGTTTTTAAGTATACTTTTCTATTTCAGAAATTAAATTCCAAGGATAAATCTTACCAGCTCTTAGATTAGTCAACTTTGCCACCTGCAGCACATTTTAATGGGCACATATTTCAGAATGTTACCTTTTGGACAAGGAAAATGAACATGTACTGAGTGCTTACTGTGTACTGAGCTCTGAACCAGGTGCCTTCAGATTTGTTGTTTTTCTCACAGCAACCCTGCAAGACAGATAGAATTGTTCACATTTTTCAAATGAGTAAACTTAAATTGCACTGCAGAGAGTCTGAACTGGCTAAACCAAGGTCAAGGCTGGTGGTGGATTTCCAACCCAAGTCGGATCACCTCCAAATCTCATGCTTTTTCCATTATACCATGTAGAATTTTGAATTTTGAATTATGGTCTTTCCTGTAACACCCATTTATTGGGCAGTATTTACTGACTAATAAACAGCAGATACACAGGCTAGTTGATTTTAATAGGGTTAGATAATTTACATTCTCTAAGATTACTAGGTTGCATTTCATAGTGATAGGAAAAGTCCTCAGACTTAGAGATTGAAGAAAGGGCACAAATTTGGTTTCAGCCTTGGGTTCAAGTTACAGTCCTAGTTAAGTGACAGTGGACTCTGCCTGAAGACTCATTACTCCATCATGTGTAGAGTGACAGCACTTCTACATCTGTAAATGAGAGGAATGACAATACCCACTTCTCAAAGTTGTGTGAGAATTAAGTGAAGTGATGTATGTAAAGACACCTCTCACCATTTCTTATTAGTACCATTGGAAGGACTTAATGATAATTACTTGCCTAAATATTTTCCTGTGTAACTCAAAGCACTTTTTAATCAGCATTATAACAGGATTTCCCTTTACTGAGTGTTTGTCATATTCCAGGCACTTTGTATGTACTTTTTCCATTACTACACTTATGACATTAGACAGTAATTTCTTATTTACTTATTTATTTACTTCCTTGCAGGCAGGAACTCTTTCTCTCTCCTTCATATCTCTGGCATTCAACATAATGGTTTCTGGCCCATCGAAGGAACTCATTAATGTTAGGAAACTTAGCTTGGCTTTTGTTCCTTCTTTTGAGAGCTAACTTCAGTTTGGGGGAGGGGCTGCTCCAATGAAGTACTAAATTAACATCATTAAATTGTGTCTCATAACTTGCCCTCAAATATATACCTGTAACTAAAGAAATTTTAGATTGCTCTAATTGACAATGGATGATTCTGAATATGTGTTAACATTTTACTTTTTAAAAAAGGTAAATTTCTGGGATAAAAAGAATATATTAAGAGTTGCAAGAGTTTACCAAACAAATTTTCTTTGTATCTGTGATTCAAAGGACAAGCTTACCCTACTCAGAAAAGTAATGTTTTAGTTTCAAAATACATGTATTATATCCATTTGATAAATATACATGATAATATACATGTATCATATACTAAATATTCTTAGGGACATAGTAAATTAATTCTAAAAGGGTCTTATCTGAGAATTGTAGATTATGCAGCTTGAATTATAATACAAATGTAATTTTTGAAATTTTATCATGTCTTTTTTATAATTTAAAAGTTTTATTTTTGATTTTTAAAAATGCCAACTTGACTTTTGCCCAATTAGTGAGTGTGACCTTTCAAAAGCATATTTTGAAAAGGCAAAAGATTGTGAAGACAGAAATACTAACTTATTTATTCTCTTATAATCTAAAATTCTATTTTTATGTGGCAAATCATAAAAATACATACAGTAGGAGTTTTTTTAAAAAAATAGAACAATGGGCCGAGTGCGGTGACTCACACCTGTAATCCCAGCACTTTGGGAGGCCGAGGAGGGCTGATCACAAGGTCAAGACATTGAGACCATCCTAGCCAACATGGTGAAAACCTGTCTCTACTAAAAATACAAAAAAATTAGCTGGGCTTGGTGGCGCATGCCTGTAGTCCCAGTTACTCAGGAGGCTGAGGCAGGAGAATCACTTGAACCTAGGAGGCGGAGGTTTCAGTGAGCAGAGATCACAGCACTGCACTCCAGCCTGGGGACAGAGCAAGACTCTGTCTCAAAACAAACAAACAAACAAATAGAACAATGAAGAAAGTGAAATTAAGGGAAACTAAGAGGATTTTAAAAAGATAAATTCAGAAGTAAAATTTATGTTTAAAAAAAAAAAAAAAACCAGAAGTTTGCAGTGAGGTCCCATGCTCTTTACACACAGAAAACTATAGATTTGGCACCCATTTTCCTAATATTGAAAACAAAAGCAAACCCATCATGCAGAGGACAGAGAATATTAGTGGTTTAATGTCATAAAAAGTGCTTGCCTCAGAGCAGACGTAAGTATTCCGATACTTGTGATTTCTGGATTTTGTTTGTTTTTTTCCATTTCTACTTTGCTTGCTTCTTGTTCATGATATTTTTAATCGATACGTATTAGAAGGATGTTCAAATGCAAGAAAGAGAGAGAGAAGCTTAAAAAGCGTGGTATGGAATGCCACTTGACAGTGTCATACATTCACAAGATGTCCTTGAAGATGGAGCACAGAACAGAGATCAGGGAAATTTTGTCAGCTGCAGTTGGGAAAATAAATGGCTGTTGTGTGATTGGGCAGATCCTGAAAGCAGACTCCTGCTCAAACCATGTAATTAACAAAAGTGGGAGCTTTTGTCCAAGTGCAAAATGTTCATAATATCAGAGTTTGTCAGCAGGAGCTTTTAGAACGGATCAGTACTTTTCACTCCCTGATCCAGGGAATGGTTTTCTTATAAATCATCTTCTCTCCTTGCTGTCCTCATGAAGGTTGCTGCCGGGCGATAGGCAGACTTAAGATTGTAACCTTGCTAATTCACAGTGATTTAGGTGAAGGGGAGACTGAACCAGAGACTGTTTCTAGAAATGTGATTTTTATTCATTTGGGCTCCCATGAGTACTCTAATGTAGGAACAAACAGAGTGTGTCCAAGGAGAGATCCTACAGGATAGCTCTGGGGAGGAGACAGAATCATTTTTAATACTGTGACTCCAAACTGGTTTGAAGGACTTGACATTTTCTTTCTTTTTTAAAAAACAACTTCCTTTCAGATTATAAAACTGCTGTATTCTCACTGTAAAAACAAAACAGAGTTGACAAATAAAGATGGAGAAAAGTGTAACAATCACCTGTAATTCTGCCATTTATTCTAGTGTTTTTTATTTTTCCCTCCTACTCTGTACTTGTTTATATAATTGAGATAATCAATCTTTTATTTCACTTCTTTTTCTACATTGATCATATACATTTTCTCACATTATAAAAACCCATTATAAACATAACTTTAGCAATTGCAGAATACTGTATCAAAAAACTGCACAATGAGTTATTTAGCCATCCCCCTTGTTAGACTCCTGGGCTGTTTCCGTTTTTCTCACTCCTCTTAATATAACTCATTGTATGTACTTCTGGTCTGCAGAATTTTGGATTCTTTTCTGAGTTTCAGAATGGACCAGTGGGTCCAAGAATATGAACATAAGAAGAGATGTGCCAATTTATCCTTATACCCATAATTATGAGAAAGACTATTTCACTGCATCTTAGAACTTGACAGTTGCAAACCTTAAATTTCTAGTTTCCATGTAAACATGTTGCCCACAAATAATTCAAAGGCACACTTCTCCTCACCCAGGCCTGAATTCTCACCAACATTGATTTGGTGGAGTCCAGTTTTACTCCTGCCTCCACTACCTTCCCAGGGAATGTTTAGGGGCAATGGTATCCAACTGGCCCTCAGAGGAAGTTTGAGGGATAAAGTTCTCCTATCAAGTCAAAATGTTCTTTTTTTCTAACATTTATCTCTTATAAAAAGAAAGAAAGAGAGAGAGAAAGAAAGAAAGAAAGAAAAGAAAGAAAGAAAGAAAGAAAGAAAGAAAGAAAGAAAGAAAGAAAGAAAGAGAAAGAAAGAAAGAAAGAAAGAAGCAGTGAAGGGAGAAATTAACAATAAACTTTCAAGTGTGATAAAGTAATTTTCAGATTTAAAACTACTCTATCAGAATAACATTCAGGATCTTTTCATGAATGAACATGTAGCTATATGAGGCTATATGAATTGTCCATGAGTATAATTTATCACGGCCAGTTATATATGCATTGAGGTGCTAAGAACCATTTTATTTCACTTATTATCTTCACCTTCAGAATGACTTAATTTTTTGAATTGCACAATTAGAAGAGCCATTGACCTTACACAATTTCTCTTAAAAAGAACAAGACTTCTACACAGATTTTTCTAGACACAAACTCCCTCTACTCCCTTTTACTCCTCCCCTCTTCCTCACCCTGGTTATGTTAAGAAAACAAGTGTTAATTTTCAAAATAAAATATATTTCTATGTAGATTTCTGAAGAATTTAATCTGAGTGTGCATAAAACTTAATTTCAGAGATGTGACCTAATGCTTTAGATCATGATACATATGTGGAATAGCACATTGCTGTTTACAAGTAAACCTCAAGAGTTTGCTGCGACTGAGCCACTAGCCAGGCATTTTATAAATATACAATACTAATGTTTACATGAATTGTGCCATTGGCTATTGTTTATGCATTTAATTGGAAAGATAAGTCTGGCTTAATCAGTTTGTGGGCAGTTTTTCAAATGATTCATTAATTATGAGAAAGACTGTTCTTTGTATGGAAGATGAAGATAATGTATTTCCCATCACAACTGGTTCCCATCCCAACAAGTATCCAGAGATTATTATTAGGCATTTTAGTTATTTTATCCACATTAAACCTTCAGAGTTCAGAGGGTCTTAGGGAGCAGAATGGGAAGAAATTGTTTTCCAATCGATTTTCTTTTTATTAGAGCTGATACTTTTGCAGGAAAGCTGAGCTTGCCCACAAAATTGTATTTTTATTAAAATGCAAACATTTGTCTTTTTCAAATCTGACTTAAACAAAGAAAGCTTATTGAAAGTACGGTACTGTATTTATTTACTGGCCATTTTGGAAAGGAGAACCGAATTGTGGGGGATGAAGGAAACGTTCCCTCATCTTTATAATGTGCTGAATGATCAAGCTGTCCCTCAGCTATGGAGAGTTTGTTGTAAAAGTCAGTTAAAACCAAATACCCAGGGGTCTTACCAGAACTGCATCAGGATGGACACACCAGGAAATCATCTTAGGCCCAAAATGAAGCTCTAAAGAAACACTGTAAAATGTAAAGGAGGCCAGTATTTATTTAGGAGGGGAAATGGGTGTGATGTGTCTGGGGAAGAAGATTAAAACTTGGATTTCCGTGAATTTGAGAATGATGCCTATGAGAAATTAAATTTTGATTATGCTTTTCATATCCGTGCTGGCCCTGCTATTTTAAGTATTAATGCCTCTTGTTCTCTCCAGTGGCTGCTGATTTTTTAAAAGCCCTGACTACCACCACTGAGAATACTTTTGGCATGCCTGGTGTTCATCTCCAGAGCAGAAGTTGCTGTTTGAAAGAAGGGATGCCTCACGCTTACCTCATTGTTACAAATATAAGTTCCTTTTAGATTATAAAGCGCTATATTCTCATTGTAGAAACAAAACAAAGAGTTGACAAATAAACAAGTCATTTGTTTAGGATGTAGGCATTTATACCAGGAAAAGGACAGTCAGTTCAGTATCAAAACAGGTAGGATTAGTCTGAGTGTATACGATTTATATGCTTTTGCTGAGGAGGGGGTGTCATTTGAGAAACTCTGAAGGAGACTGCTTAAAACAAAGGGATATACAATTGATTTTAATGAATTATTTGTTTGCCTGCCCTCCTCTGCCATCCTCCCAGCTTCAACCCTCTACAGGGAGGGACCAGATTATTTTTGTTTTCCCACCTTCTAGAAGAATGCCTTGGCTTATAATTGCATTCAATAAACTTGTGTTGAATTGAATACACTTGTTTTAAGGATATGCTGAGAATTTATTACCACATAACTTCCCAGAGTAAATAGGTCTTTCAGGTTATTTGTGCCTCTGCCCAAAGGTATTATTAAGCTGTCAGCATGTGTTTCTTGGATGGAATTAAATATTTTTTTCTAGAGTTTTCTAGTTACCTTCTGGCAGAAGCTACAGAAACATGGTATGAATGGTTTTGGGAAACATGAGTGCAGTCTTTAGCCACAGTCCCCTAGTCCAGTGGTCTTTGTGAGTCATCACCTGTAATTTGGTTGGAAGGGTGGTATTTCCAAGTTCCCTTTTCCTAGAGTTATCAGATCATCAGTCTCAGCTCCTCCCCTTGGGTCCCATTAATAACATATGTCTCCTTCACAGTTGAATCATAACCAGGAAAGTGTTGCATTTCAAAAAAAAATATTAACCTGAAGGGACTTGAGCGAATTAAAGCCTCTTGAAAAGAAGGACGGGAGAGAATAGATTTTATGAGCTGATCTAAGACACTTTAAAGAAATATGAAATTGGGGAATTGTAACGACATTTTTAGTATCTTTTAAGGAGCAAGAAGAGAAGTGAGGAATTTTACAAAAAAAAATAATGTCTGTCTTCAGGAACACAGAGCCTGCTGTGTAATTTTCTAACTTTGGGAATTTGTTTTTCAGGCTTGGAAAGGTGGGTGAGATGCAGTAGTCTGGGCTATTGCATCCACCAGAGTCTAACATACTACATGTCAGAATTTTACAAGGGTTAAGTGGGAAATTCCTACAAAGAGAATTAGGACTTTTATTTTTGTTCTCATTAATAATTTAAATCTATTTCTTTAATGGTTCAATTCAGTGACTGCCCTTGGTAAACATTATTCTTCATGCACCTGAGAGAGCTTGTTCTATTACATAAGGGTTAGCTTTATACATATATTTTCAAAAATCCTTCCAACATGGTAAAAGAAAACACCTTTACATACTCATTAAAATATTTAATAAAATACATGCATGAGTCTCAGGTGTACACACCTGAGACATGTTTGCAATCAGTACATTCCTTTAACATCTTTCTCGTTTCTGGGAATACTGACTTTTAAAGGTAGCTGAAAGTAGAGGATAAGGGTATTTGTAAAAGAAACATCATGTTCTGTGACCTTCTTTGGTTCTTTCCTCTTGATCCTTTCGCATGAATTGTGCAGTGAGGCTATATCTCCGCCAGAAAACCAGGAGTTAAGGACTGCCAAAAGTATGGTGACAGGTGTACAAGAACCCTGCACTGGGCTCTTAGATGATGAATGTCAGTACTGAGTTCTGTATCAGGTCAGATTCCTGTAATGTAAAGTTGTAACCTTTGATTTGCCTCATGAAGTAAATCCTGAAAGTAGGTGTAGGTTAACTAGATTAAAATATCTAAATGCAAAACAATAACGTGGGGTCGTATGTAGGTAAAGTGGAGGGGATAGGGTAAGACAGGGTTCTAAACCTTGCTATTAAGAAGTAAAAGAGTGTTAGTCTACACTGAAGTATTCCAAAAATGTCACAGGCTTGAATGGGAAGGAACAGTTTGTGGACTTTCCATCTTTATTTTTATACTACCATTTTTAGGGAAAATATTAGGACAAGGACACAATATGGTGTGGTTGGCAGGATGGTAAGAAGACTATGGTAGCAACAATGATTCTCCTCCACTGTGAGGAGGGGGATCAATCCTGTAACTCTAGCCTGATTGCCCCAAACTTGAGAAAATTAAAGCTTTGTGAAGAGTGGAGGATGGAAGGAGGTGTAAGAAAGTCATGAGCTAATGGAATAAATATTAACTACTCAGGAGGTTGAGGTGGGAGGATCACTTGAGCCCAGGAGTTCAAGTCCAGCTGGGGCAACATAGAGAGACCCAGTCAAAAAAAAGGGAAGGAAGGAAGGAAGGAAGGCAGGAAGGAAGGAAAAAAAGTTTTAAGGGAGCTTTAAATACATTTTTAGTACATCCGTACACTTTTAGATTTTAGAATAGTCTTGCTTAATATACTTCAAAGATTTTCCTAGTCACAAGACATGCTGCTGTCTCTTCTCTGACATGTGGACCCTTCATCAATAAATATTTATTTGATTAGTAAATTAATGAATTCTGAGAGCAAGAAATCATATGAAAAGAGTGGTTTGGGAAGGAAGGAAAGGTTTTACTTTTGATTATATTGCTAATCAGCTTTTCTTGTCTAACTCTTAACCTAGTTTCTTAGGTATTGGTTTTTATCTTTCTCCTTGTTCTCTTCTAATAATATTAGCATCAGTCACCACTAGCATCTGTGGAGGGATTACCATGCCAGGAATAGTGCTGAGTGCTCCATGTACATTATCTCACTGAGTCCTTTTTATACCAGTAAGAGCAAAGGCTGCCCTGAACCACCAGGTTCTATTCTTTTCCTTTTGACTCATTAAATAGGGCTGAGATAAAAGTGTGGAGGGGCCGAGTGAAGATGATTGACACTATATGCTGCCAACATGCTTAATTAACAGTTCTCAGCCACCTTGGTGTGAGGTAGGTAGAGGGCAGAGGGTAGGTCAGTGGAAGGGCTGGGGTAAGGCCGTATTCTAAACTTTCCTATCAAGAAGTGAAAGAGTGCTAGTCTACACAGAGGTGCTCCAAAAATGCTGCAGGTTCGAATGGGAAGGAACAATTTGGGAACTTTCAATCTGGAGATAATAGATTGGCTTTAGTGAACATAAAATGCTGTTTGAGTGTACATTTTTCTGAGGATATAGGGCCAAGGCATTCAATAGGTTTTCTGAGGATATAGGGCCAAAGCATTCAATAGTAGACTCATGCCAGCCAAAGCTTTAACCCTCCTGCTTGAATGAGTGCTTTTTTTTTTTTGAGGTGGAGTCTTGCTCTGTCACCCAGGCTGGAGTGCAGTGGCGTGATCTCGGCTCACTGCAACCACCGCCTTCCAGGTTCAAGTGATTCTCCTGCCTTAGCCTCCCAAGTTGCTGGGATTACAGGCACAGGCACCCGCCATCATGCCTGGCAAATTTTTGTATTTTTAGTAGAGGTGGGGTTTCTCCATGTTGGCCAGGTTGGTCTCAAACTCCTGATCTCAGGTGATCCTCCCACCTTGGCCTCCCAAAGTGCTGGGATTACAGGCATGAGCCACCACACCTGGCTAATGAGTGCTTCTTAAAATCTGCATTTGACATAGAGATGGAAAGTAGAATGGTAGTTGCCAGGAGCTGGGGAAAGTAGGGGAATGAGGAGGTATTGTTTAATGGGTATAGAGTTTCAGACTTACAAGATGACAAGAATTCTGCTGGTGGCTGCAAAGCAATATGAAGGTACTTAATGCCACTGAACTGTATACTTTAAAACTATTTAGTTGGCAAATTTTGCTATGTGTATTTTACCACAATTTTAAAAATTGAAAAAAAATCTGCATTTGAAAGAATATTTAAGTGTATGCCTGGCATATAATAGGTGCTCAGTAGGTGACTGGTTGCTTACCTGTCCTGTTCTTTTGTTATCTGTAAAATGGGGATGATATTAGTACTTTATTGGCTTGTACTTCACAGGGTTGTTTGAGAGATCCAGTAAGCTAATGGACATGTAAGGACTTTCATTCATTCTACAGTCCTTTATCTGGGACCTACCGATTGTTAGGCTTTATTCTACATTCAGGAGATGCTGTAATAAACAAAACAGATGTGATCTCTGTGCTGTGGACCTCACAGTTCAGGTCATGAATTTTAATGAACTGTAAAGTGCTATACTCAGAAAAGTATGGAGGTAGACATGTCTCCACAAGTCTGTTGAAGTACATTCTGGTCCTCCACTTTAAAATTACAGGGTTGGGCTTCATGGACCCTAATGTTCTCTGGTATCTGTTGAATTCAAGAAGGGTCTGCTCTTTGTCTTTGTTATCTCTGTATCCCCAGAGTTCAGCACAGATCTCGGCTCCATCTCTGTTTATCTAACATACCCAGATCTAGCCATAGTGGAAGTAAACCCTTTTTAAATGTGCGTATGACCTGACATATCCAGGAACTAGTGTTACAGGTAACTTGGGTAGATAAAAGGAGCCTGGATTGTGTTGAGAGAGGTGCCAGAAGGGAACAGAGGGGTGGCTTTTTAGTTTCCAAGAGCAGGAGGCTGGCTGAGCCTCTGCTCCTTACCTCCCCTCTGCAGATATAAACGACCCTGGTGATGATCCGGCAGCTGCACGTCTGAAGCCTTCCCTCTTGCTTTTGTTGTATATTTTGCAGAAAAGAGTGGTGGGAGGGGTGAGGTTAATGCATTGAGTGTGAGTAATTAGTCATTCAAACCATCGACATTTACGATGACAGGATTTGAGTGCCTACGTTATTGTGCACCGCTCTAATAGTTTATCCCTGAAATTTTCTGCCTGTATAATGTTTCTTAAAATATATCACAGAAACATAAAAGATTTAATGTAGTGCTTTGTACATCCATTAGAGTTCGAAGTCAACTGAACCTCCTCAATGATCTATCCTGGATGCTGACTGTAATTCTGTTCTTAATTGCTATTCAAATGAGGAAAGGAGGGCAAGTCAGGGGCTTGGAACCTGGTCAGCTGCAAAGTTGGCTGTGAGACCCACACAGAATGTTTCATTAAAGTACATATGCACACTTGAGTAACTGATATATTTATTTGCAATGAAAATTGTGCTGTTAGAATATCAAAGGCGTTAGCCTGAGGAAGCAAGTGTTCTGATTTTGCCCAGCCAGCCTCTGTACTTACTGGAGGATGTGCTTTCTACCAACACACATCTTTTCTACTCCTGTTCTGTCCCTCTGTTTCCCAAGCAGAGAGAACAGGTGTCCTGTCTTTGAGGTCTATCATGTAACCTTAAAATGCTGTAGTTTCATATTCGTGCATTTAATATCTTTACATCTTGGCAACTTCTCTTATTTTCCAGGTAATGTTTTAAAATCCTCTTGTTTCATTCACATGTCAGATTTGATTCTGATGTTTTACATTTCTGATTTTTTTTTTCAGCCTGTGTTGCATCCTAAGATGCATCATTAAGACCTGTGAGGGGTCTTATTATAGGATGTATATTAACACATTTGCAAATGTTTCTCAGCTTTCAGACAGCACACTTTTATTGAGAAAACTCTCTTTGTATGTGTCCATTTGTGTGTTTTCATCAGTTCCTTCTGGATACACAAAAGAATAACTGTGTAGTGTAGATGCAGAGCAAAGAGAGCTCCATCTACATTGGATGAGAATGACTTGACCTAATTTATAGATGTGGTCAGCTAAAGTAGCTCAGTAGTGAGCATTGTATCTCATGGCTCCTTTTAGAAGCTAGTTGGGACCAGTTGGGCTGTCTAATCTACAGACAGGACTCACCTCCTGGAGTCAACATAGATTAGGAAATCCACATAGAATGCAAGGAAGGCCACAAAGCTGATGCGGGGACTGAAATTACTTTGCTGCAGCCTTGTTACTTCACAGGCCTTCCTGGAGGAGGTGGACCTGTGAGATGTTCACATGGACAAGTGCTGGCTTTCACCACGTGTCTGAAAACGAAAGATGAACCTGACTATCAGGTGACCTTTATGAGTTTTGGTCCCACAGAATCTCAACATGAAATTCTTCCACATACTCCATCACTAGCACCAAATAAGCTGCCTTGGTGTGGGATATTTTCTAGGTGTTTGTTGGGGAGCTGAAAGAAGGGTAACCTGAAAAAGGTAGAAAACAGAGAAGAGTTTCTAAAGATTGTGGGCCTGGGGGGTTTTTGCCATTAAATCGAATGTAGTAGTCCGGCCTCCTGAATGGATAAATTCTGATTTTCATGTTCATTATCGAGTTGGCAGTGCTTCTTATGTTTGTTGCCTGGACACCTGACTCAGTGAAGCAGTGAGACAACACAGCAAATGGAGGCACTGCAAAGACCCAGAAGGCCCCACAGCTTGGCAGAGCTGAAACCTGCCTCCTAGCCAGGAGTTGTGCTGATGCTCTGTAATGCCATCCCTTTAGCATGCCTCCTTCCCTGGGGACCATCTCCCTGATTCTTTTCCTGGACCCTTGCCTCGAAGGCAAAGTGGCTGAATAGGCTTTGCTGGGTACAACTTCTATCAGTCCTGAGGGGAGCTTGATTTAAGATTCTTCTCAGAAGCTTTTTGCTTTCTCCTTGCTGTCTGGACCAGCCTTCTAGAATCCTAAAGTTGACCTGAAGCCAAGAAGAAAATTCTGGTGATGGGAGAAGTGGAGCCACTTAAATTACTTACATGATGGTAAAGAATCTTAGATGCTCCCCATCTTTCTTAGTCTGCTTTATTTCCTTGGCTCCTCTTGAGCCATGTTTTCCTTTTTGTTTCATTTATCATTTGTGACCATCAGAAGATGAAAGAATTAGAATAACACTCACCTACGTGGGGCATGATGAGGAATAATAGTTATGATGCCTCTGGGCCCTTTGTATTTTAGACATTTAATGTACATTATCTCTCATCCTGAAGATAACCCTGCGTGGCAAGCTTTTTATTCCAGTTTTGCTGAAGAGGAAGCTGAGGCTCAGAGTATTGAAGTAACCTGCCTCAGATCACACAGCTAATAAGTGGTAAAACTAAGTTTTTTGTTTTTTTGTTTTTTGAGACGGAGTTTCACTCCTGTTGCCCAGGCTAGAGTGCAGTGGTGCAATCTTGGCTCACTGTACCCTCTACCTCCCAGGTTCAAGTGATTCTCCTGCCTCAGCCTCCCGAGTAGCTGGGATTACAGGTGTGCACCACCACACACACACAGCTAATTTTGTATTTTCAATAGAGACTGGGTTTCTCCATGTTGGTCAGGCTGGTCTTGAACTCCTGACCTCAGGTGATCTGCCCACCTCGGCCTCCCAAAGTGTTGGGATTACAGGTGTGAGCCACCGCACCTGGCCTAGAACTCAGATTTTAAATCACCTGTTGTCTTGACTCAAACACTCATTCCATTTTTACTATACCACTCTGCTTCAGATGAGAAAATAAACAAAAACAAAAACAAAAAATAGTCTCTGAACATTGATGAGGATGTGGAGCAACTGGAACTTTCATACTCTGCTGGTGGGAATATAAATGGATACAGCCACTTTGAAATACTGTTGGCAGTATCTACTGAAGCTAAATATACATACACCCTATGATCCCAAAAACAGAATCCTAGGACTATCCCCAATAGAAATATGTACATTTTTGTACCAAAATGTTGTACATAACGCTCATAGCAGCATTATCTATAGTAGTTCAAAATTAGAAACAATCCAAATGTTCATCAACAGATAAATAAAATGTAATATTTCCACACAATGGAAATTGCTATAGCAGTGGGAAGAACAATGCATTGTTACATGTAACAGAGCAGATGACACTCCATACATGTGTGAAAAGGCACAAAAGAGTATGTGTTGTATGAGTCCATGTATATAAAGGTAAAAAAATAGGTAAAACAAATCTGTGGACTAGAATTCAGAATAGTGGTTACCTTTGAGGGGTGAGGTAAATGACAGGGATGGAGAACCTGAGAAAGGCATTTGGGGTGCCAGTCATGTTCTGTATTGTGATCTGAAAGGTAATTACCCAGTTGTGAATTGTGTTCACTTTGTAAACATTCTTTGTGTTGTACCCTTAAGATTTATACACTTTATTACATGTATGTTATAGTAAATGAAAATGCTTCCCCCCTAAATCCTCTGAGCAGGCAAATGGTAATAATAATGGAAGCTACTAGTTATCAGATGTCTGCTATGCCTTGGTTTCCTCATCTATAAGACATAGAGAATATTAGAATATGCTTCATTGCCTTCTTGTGAGGAGACAGTGAGAGAAGTCACATTGGATGATTGGCAGAGTAACTAATAAACATCAGTGATTGTGGTTATGTGCCCACCACTGTTCTGGTGCTTTACATAAGTCATATCACTGGATCGGTTCTTACCGCTTTGCCATACGGTGGCATTGTTCCCATTTTTCAAATGAGGAAAATGAAGACTCTTAGGATTTAAGTCCCTTGCCAAGGTCACACAGCTAGTAAGTGGCAGAGTATGATTTCATTTCCAAGGAGTTGATGATCAGTTTCTGAGGAGATGGAAGCCATTTTATGATGGACAAATAGAGGACGGTGTAAGACAAAATGGAAAGTTGCGAATTATGGGCTGCGTTTGGGGCCAGGAAATCCGGGTGCAGGCCTGGACTTTGCCCCCATTTTTCTATGATAACAGAGAAGTAACTGGACATCTCTGGGCTTCATCTCGAATGTGAGTGTTGAGCTAGATTTTGTTCCCTTATGTGCCTTCTGGCTCTGCAATTTTGCAATTCTCCATGTTTGTCATTCCATACAGGGCATCTTCATGACCTGACTTCATGAGCTTAAACTCATTTTTCATATAAAACCCTATTCCAGCATTTTCTCAGAACTGTCCCTAAATCTCCCTATCCTATAAGCAGAAGTAATTGCTTCTGTATTGCATGATCACTGCCCTATACCAGCTGTTTACCTGTCTGTGTCCTCTATAGACTATAAGCTCCCTGAGGATAGGGATTCATTCATTTCTTTATTCTCATACGTGCTACCTGGAACATTCACACCAGCCAGAAATCTTTGTTTAATTAAATATTTTAATCAAGAGAAAGTCCTTTTTGAGTAATATGTGAGTGGACAGCCTCAGGCGGTGCTGGACCTAACGTGGAGACCTAGAGAAAAGTTTGCCTCCATGTTTTTTGTTTTATTAGAGGTCTGGGAGAAACAATAACAGAATGGCTAGATTAAAAAAAAAAAGACATTAGATGACTTTGCAGCTCCCTAGAATGTACCTGTAAAATCTAAAATTTGATCAGTGATTAAGCATCAGTGAAAATTTAAACCCTTCCCATATTGAACAACCCCACTTAATTTAATGTCATTTTATTTTATGAGATAGTTAATAAACAGGTACTGTATTTGATCTTGTGAGTGTAGTCCTCTATATTTAGCTTTTTCAGCTTTAATGGAACTATAATTTTAATCATGATTATTACTTTACATTTTAATTATAATTTGGTGTGGCTTAAGTATACATTTCTGAGAGTGATTGTGTAATGAAAACAGGAATTAGCTTTTCATTAACAAAATAATGGGAGAGTTCCTACTGCATTCTAGTCTGTGTTCAAAATCTATGGGCTGGCCTAAAAATAGAAAGAGGAGTTTAACATTTTGGTTAAAAACATGCTTCTAAATTGGCTGTGTTCACAACCCAGTCTCTTGCTCCATCTTGCTTTATCTTCTTCTCTTTCTTTTCAAAAAAATTAATAAACTTTTAAAAGAGACTTTGTGTCTGAGATTTCAAAAGGCTTTTTCAATTGTTTTTATTTTTATTTAGATAATTAGCACCATGGAGCCTCAGGTGTCAAATGGTCCGACATCCAATACAAGCAATGGACCCTCCAGCAACAACAGAAACTGTCCTTCTCCCATGCAAACAGGGGCAACCACAGATGACAGCAAAACCAACCTCATCGTCAACTATTTACCCCAGAATATGACCCAAGAAGAATTCAGGAGTCTCTTCGGGAGCATTGGTGAAATAGAATCCTGCAAACTTGTGAGAGACAAAATTACAGGTATGCACAGGATTTGAAGCTATGTTGTTCCATTAGATGTGCAGATCTTAGCAGAAATGCACATGTGTGATGGTGCACCTGAATGTCTATATCATGTACCCTGCATGCAAGATGGCATGGATACACAGTCATAAACTCACACTACATACACCACATAAGACCTTATTGTAGATTGGTACTGCTGGGGAGCAGATGAAGATTTTGGTACATCTTCATCTTCATGTAAAATGATCCTTTGATTTTGTCTCCTTTTATTCTTAATCAGCCATTCCTTCCCTTTGTTCTATAGTTTCCAGTCCCACAACTCTGCCCTCCCTATACTATACACTAGTTTTTGCTCATGTATTCTCCTCCTCTCAATATTTGCTTCATGTGTGCCCAGTGTTCTTCCATGTGCCTGAAACAAGTGTTTTAAAGGGGGCCACTGTGGATGTGTGGACAGTTGACACAACTGCCCTTGTCCCTGGGGAGAAACAGGCCCTAAGGATAGCAGATTATTCTGGAATACAACTACTCTGCAGTAGGAGGGAAATGCTTAATGAAGATCTGCATTTGAGGTATTTTGTTTTATTTTATCTGTCTGTTCGTTTTGAAGATACTCTTTGAGATGTGAGGGCATTTTTACTTGAAAGTGAATCAACACCCTATACAACTTCAATACATGAGATTTTTAGGTTCTGATTTTCTCCTAATTGACAACTGTTCATTGAGAACCAAATGTTTGCCAGACACTGACACTATAATTCTTTGGGGGAAAGTTTCCCTATAATCTTATTGGCAGTGAGAATATTTTCTTGGAATATATTAGGCTACATAATGATGGCAGTGAAGCTGCTACTCTCTGATACTCCACTCCTGAAATCATTCATATCCAACTTTGAATACTTGTCAGTTTTGAGTATTGACTTTTGTTTCCCTTTCCCTAGACAGTTTAATTAATCAGCAACTGTCCTAGAGTTTTTTTTTTTTTAAAAAGGAAGCTGCATCATTAAAATAGGGATATACATCATCTTTATTTTAAATCAGAGAATACATTCTATATGTGTGTGTGTAGATATATACATTCTTCTGTTCTCATAATTCACATGTAAATCTGTTCCCCTTATAAATTAAGTAGTTTGCAAAATCATAAAACTTAAATACCACTGCTACTTTCCAAAATACAAGTCACCTAACACTCCAGACATAATTTTCTTATTTGAAAAACTGGAAGATAATGCTTGTCTCAAAGGGCTTATTGTGAGGATTAAATGAGAGACTAGATATATTGCATCTAGCACAATGTCTACTGCACAGTGGTCCCTCAGTAAATAAATCTATTATTGTAAGTACAGCTAGTATGCTTCAAGGAAAGTGGCCAGAACAGAAAAAAAAGTATCTATCAAATTCTCCAAATAGGGCCAGGCTTTGATTATCTTGTACCAGAGCACTGGAACATCTATCCTTAAACAGAATTTCCCATACGTTCAGAAAGCCAATATTTAGATTCCTGAATAATCTTTATATAATAGGATGATAATTCAAACCAAATTAAAACCAGTTAACCATATGATTCTTCCTCCTACTCCTATATAGAAAATGTATTTTTAGTATAGCCTTACCTTCAAAATACAGACTCTGCCAGCTATATTAGTGAATATTATTAATCACCTTTTCAGAATTCCTTCAGAACTGTAGCGAGATTTTTGAGAAGTACTGATTCATGGTGTTGTTCCTTGTTTTCTAAAGACACATGTTTAAACAAGCAGATTCCTTTACTGAAAGAATGCTAATTTGGTAGTTCACCGAGTGGATTTGAATAGGAGTGACAGCTTCGAAGACAGCCTTTAATTTGGTATACAAAACCAAAATTGTCAACTTTGGTTTGTTTAGCACCCTCTCCAGCACAAGCAGAGACATACAGTAGCATCTGAGCTTAAAGAAGAAGCTTATGGGGTTGAAAGCAGAAATACAATTCAGGCATAAATTTATAATTATGCATTCTTCTTAAATTCAGGCCCAAAAAATTTTTATTTGTAGAGAGCTTATGGGAATGAGGCAGGGAAATATAGAGAGAGACCAGAGATATTTGCCCTCATTTGACAGCAGTGTTTAATAGAAGTAAAACTTGTGGTTGTAAAGAGTGCTTATTAAATTCTTCATTTACACTACCTAATTAATTCTAGCATTTTAAATTAACAGTGAAACTAGTCCCTGCTGTACCATTCCATAGATGCAGCATATTTCCTCCATCCACCCGTTGTTCAGGTTTAATTGGCTATGCTAAAAGTCAGAGAAGGAGGGAGAGATAGGGCTGTGGGGAAATGGGGAAGGAGTGGGAATTGCTCTAGCGGAGGACCTCCCCGAGGCCAACATTTGGGGTTAGGTCACAATGCAGGCTGGAAGAGGTGAGGTATATCACACCAGGCAAGTGGAGAGGCTGCAGCTGGTGGTTCAGAAGTCAGGGTAAATGACATCATGGGTATTTTTGTTGCCCTGATTTTTAACATCCTAGTCCCCCTTTTTCCTCCAACACCTCCTACAGATCTCAATGCATCTCGATCCTGTGAAGTTTACAAGGAGTTCTAAATATCCAGTGGGAGGATTGGGGGGTGGGAGGTGGCAAAGAGATAAGAATTCAAGATTAAGATTTTCCAGCCCCAACCACTCCCTAAGAGAATGTAATGGATTCCCTTAGAAGGTTCTGGCTTCTGCAATGTTAAAATCTCTTTACAGAGAGAGGAAGTGACTCTGTTGATAGCCTTACCAGCAGGCTAGATTCATCCCTGGCTGTGAATTGTCAATGAATTCTCCGTTTGAGAACAGATAGAAGAAATTTGGTCATGGAGTTAAGTGTTATGTGCTGGGGACATAAACATCACCATTTATCAAGCACTTCATCTGTGCTGGATACTTGCTAAGCGCTGGACATACCCTATTTCATTTAACACGGAGCCTCCATTTTCTTAGATGAGGAAACTGAAGCTTGGTGATTTCCCCAGGCAGCATAGTTATTAGCAGGTGGTGGAGCTGGGAGTCACCCCTACTTTCCAAAAGCATGATTTTATTTGGAGGCATGTACAGGGTAAAGACCCTGCCTAACCTGCACTTCATAACCCAATGCAACATTGTGTTCTGCTGAGCAGAGGTTGCTGGGCACCCTCTGGAGAGTCTATCTAATGTACCATGGCTTTAAACAAGACTCATGTGTATAAAGGGAGCAAAGATAACAATATTTATCATCCTCTGGGGATATAACTCAGCCTTTGTCTTCCTTCAGAGTAGAACCAAATTTACTGAAAATGCCAGTTTTAAGATACCTTGCTTTTGGACATCTCTGTTACTTATCTTCTCAGAGACATTACATTTTTCTTTTTCCAATTGGGAAAGGACACTCACCAGAATAATCCAGGTACCAGGGAGAAGAAAGGCATATCCTGAGTTGCTTTTGTGTACAGCCGTGACACATCATGGCATTGGAAGCTAAGTCTTTAGCTTTTCTTCTTCATCTACCTGCAGCCTCTGCTGCTGGGGAAAACAAAGGAAGTGTCATGTGACCCACAGAGTTCATGCAACCTAGAAACTCAGGCAAAGAACACCAAATACCTGGTAGAAATTATATTATTCCCATGGACTCCAAGGAGTTGATTTAGTTTCTTATTTTTTTGTTTTGTTACCATTTTGGTTTTGGTTTTGTTTTGTAAACATTGAGATTGCCTTACTGAATCCAAGTTCCTATGTGATCAGTATTTTAGGGGAGAAAACATGTGGCTTGACCAGGGCAAGGTTAGGTGGCTCAGGGTATGTCTTGAAACCAGCAGAGCTGAATTATTATTATTATTTCTTTGCCTTTTTTGCATTTTTATAAGTGTTTATCTTGTTACCGCCCCAAAACAAATAAGGAAAGAAAAAAAAAGAAAAATCTCTAGAAAGAAATTAGGCCAGGCGCAGTGACTCACGCTTGGAATCCCAGCACTTTGGGTGGCCAAGGCAGATGGGTCACCTGAGGTCAGGAGTTTAAGACCAGCCTGGCCAACATGGTGAAACCCCGTCTCTACTAAAAATACAAAAATTAGCTAGGCGTGGTGGTGGGCGCCTGTAATCCCAGCTACTCGGGAGGCTGAGGCAGGAGAATTGCTTGAATCTGGGAGGCGGAGGTTGCATTGAGCTGAGATTGCGCTCCAGCCTGGGTAACAAGTACGAAACTCTGTCTCAAAAAAAAAAGAAAAAGAAAAAAGAAATCAGTGTAAGACAACAAACAGTTTTGACCTGCCTATTTACATTGTGTGATTATTTGCATCACAGTGATAAAAAAAAGAATTGTATTTTTACTTCATGTCACTCTCTGTGTACCCATGCATTGTCCTTTTTTTTTTTTTTTTTTTGAGATGAAGTCTCACTCTGTTGCCCAGACTGGAGTGCAGTGGTGCAATCTCGGCTCACTGCAACCTCCACCTCCTGGGTTCAAGTGATTCTCCTGCCTCAGCCTCCCGAGTAACTGGGACTACAGGCACCCGCCACCACGCCTGGCTAATTTTTGTATTTTTAGTAGAGACAGGGTTTCACCATATTGGCCAGGCTGGTCTCAAACTCCTGACCTTGTGATCTGCCTGCCTCGGCCTCCCAACGTGCTGGGATTACAGGCATGAGCCACTGTGCCTAGCCACAGTGTACTTTGTTTTTGAGGACAGGACAGACCAAACTGAACATTATCAATAACAAAACTGAATCTATTAAGAGACAAGTATATGGAACATGCTATTAATACGTAAGTGCTATAGGTGGTTGGAAGAGGTGAGGTTGGTGTTAGCTGGAGCTGTTGGGGAAAGTTTAAAAGATAGGGTAAGGATTTAGGTAGAGGAAAGAAAAGCAAAGGAATAGAGCTAAAATTTTAGTCAAAGAACAAAAGCATTTTTTATTCCTCTGTGCTTTGGACAAAAGAAGTAGCGCTGGAACATGTCTCTTTGGAAGCAGTGGTCTAATATGAAGCAGCATGGTCAAATGAAGTTAAGCATACCAAAAAATTCAGTCAGTTAGAGTTGTACCCCAATGGACAAAGACAACATTTCCTAAACACCACTTCTAATCCGTGTCTTCATTTCTTCCTTTATAATACGTCTCTTTGGTTTAATTAATATCATTTAGTGGAAAAAGAATAAGGCCAAATAAATGACCTTCACTACTGTGGGCAAGAGGGTGGATATTTTGCTGCTGCCTTTGTATCTGAATTTACAACTCTAATTAAAGGAACCAACTCAGTTTTGATGCAGTAACACTGGGTAACTTGTGTTCTTTCTTGAATTTCTGAAAGTGCTAACAATCCTGAGCGTGTCTCTCTCAGTAGGTGAGATGTGGGAAATGGACCACAGCGGTGGCCACAGTATCTATTAGAGCATCTAGGCTTTGAGTCATGACAGAGTACAGTCTATTGGGTTGAAGAGGAGAGGGGAGTGAGGGTTCTGGATTGTTTTAATGTACCTTATATACTTTCATGTACTGGACTTATAGGAACACTATGGGAATTTGGTTGAATTTTACTTCTGAGATAACTATATAAACAATAAAAGGCTCTGAAAAATCCTAAGATATAAAAATTCCTTGAACTCACTCCCAAAATGTGAATTCAGCCCCAAGGTGAGTTTATTGGCATAATTTCTTACAACACCCAGCAGACATATAAGAATAACTGCAACAGCTTTTATTTTTTGTGTGTGCCTTAATATGTTTACTGGGCACTATAATAATGCTTTAAATATAGTAGCTTATTTAAATAATAAATCAAGCTATCTTGGAGAATCATAATGGCCAATGCTTTTGAGTACTTACTGTGTGCCAAGCATTGTGCTGAGATCAGTAGACGGAGTCTCACATAATCCTCATGATGGCCATTTTACAGATGCAGAAACTTGAAATCAGGAGCAGTTGAATTACTGGCCAACGTGACTTAGCTTCCAAGTTAAGGGAGGTGGTACTTGAACCCAGCACTGACTAATTGTGAATTGTCAAATTTATACTTTATTTCTGGCAGTTTGCCCCAAAATACTAAACTGACTCCTCCCCTTTACAAACTAACTCAGCTTGTATACCTAGGGAATGAAATTTTTGAATACCGGGAAAACATAATTAGAGCTCAGAATCTTTTGTTTTGGAAAATAGCACACAGTGCATTAAAAAGATAAATTTTTGGTATTAAACAGGTCACTGCTTAGCTAAACAAAGAAGACTAGACTTGGAGTGGTTTTTTCACTTCTGATATTCTCTTTTCGTGAAATACTCTTCAGTATGTTCACCTTTTCTTTATTGTGCAGGCACTGTATTGAAATGGATGCTGCCTACAATTTAAGCATAATAAAAACCCAGCCTCATTTAGGCATATCCAAGAAAATCCCAAGATATTGATTAGCTAAATGAACTTTTCTACATGCACATAAGACGGAAAGTGATTAGTGATGGGAAGAGTACAGCAAATGGTAGCATTTATCAGCATATTTTGCTGCTGATTTGGAAAATGTGCTTAGTACAATGTGATGTATCTCCTGATTTCAGAGGAAAATCAGGCAGATTCGCATCTGTCATTTTATTTACCACCTCCCTGCAGTCATACATATTCTACAAAGAAGAATAAAAGAGTTTTGATTTGTTGACTCGGGAAGAGGGGGTTGGCTATTGTTGGAGGTGAGTGGAAAATTTTTAGGTATGGAGAAGATTTGGCAGCCTAATGGGGTTGCAAAACAGGAGAATTGGAGTCTGCCTTATTAAGGGGAACTTGAAGAACGTCAGAACGTGTAGTGCAAACAGTAAACCATGTAATCATTGTGCTTCTTACACACTCATCAGGGGGAATCAGAGACTTTCCATCCTTTCTAATTAGGGCAGGTTGGCAGTTGAGTGGAGCTGTGAGGTTTAGGGTTTGTGCAGGTACATTATGCATCTTCTGACACAATTTTTTCCCAGGATGTCTGTAGTCAGGATTACAGACCAGGTATGGTTTCCTTTTGCCTCCTGGCTGTGTTCCCCTTCATCTTACCTTCCAAATCAGACAGTTCTGCCCTGCTTCCGAACTCAGATAACCGTAGGAAAGTATTCTCACATCCCAGAAGAGATGTCTCAAAGGATTTTTACCTAGGATGTGAATCAGGCTGGGTATTTTAAGAATTTTCTATTTCTGTACTTTAGCTGACTGTTTGGTTCGTAAGACCAATTCCCTGTTCACGCAGCCTTCTCTTCTTCCCCCAACACACACACACACACACACCCACACATTCACTCACTCACTCCTCCCTTCTCTGTAGAATGCCCTGGTTGATTGAGACTAGGAACTAAGGAGGAAGGTAATGTCAAACTGAAATTTCCACACATTATCTAAAAATGTAATTCATCAGCTTCAGGGTAGGAGGAAAGTGCTTTCTGAAATGTGTTAATGGGAAATTCATTTTCTTCTTGTCTTCTGTGAGGTGTAGTAGTGGTGATTTCTTTTTCCAATCTGCCCCCTCGCCCCCATTCCACATCTCCCTGACTGCTCTTAACTGATAAACTCTGTATCTGTGTTTATTCCTCGTAAGAACTAAAGATCATTAAGTTGCTTTTTCGTTTTTTCTACAGTCCCAAAATTGAGCTTTGATAGGAGAAGATATTTCTAGTTTGGAGAGAAGATAAAATTCAGATAGAGATCATATATTTGTATAAGGTTTTTATATTTGTAAAACATTTTCAATCAACCAACAGTATTTATTTAGTGTCTACTCTCTCAGACCAAATAGATATTATTCCCTTTCCTTCCCTTCTCTGAAATTCTGTATCACAGTCTGTGAGGAGGTCAAAATGGATAAGTCATAGTTTGTGCCCATGTGTTGCTGCAGGACCAACGAGCCAGGGAAACCAGAACAAATGACAGCCCTTCATGAAAGTCTGGAAGTGACGGGGAGCTGGCTGCTTATTATGCATATTAACTACACATCTACCTTGCTGTTTTGTGGGCGGGGGCAAGAGGGAAGTGGAGGTTGTTTTGTTTTGTTCTTCACCAAGGCCCAATCTTACTTTTCCTTGGTCCTGGCTATTAATGTCATTGGAAGGATGGTGAAAAAGGATTCATAATGATACAATGAAGTTGGAGGTTTGATGGAATGCCTACTGCGTGTCAGCTACAGTGCTAGGCATATTATAGATGTTATCTCATTGAAGCTTTATATCAGTGTTGCCTGATCAGTGATTTTATTCCCATTTTGCAGATGCAGAACCCAAGACCTAGAATTAGTCAGCTGGTGAGTGGGGTTAGGGCATCTGACTGCAAAGTCTATGGTCTTTCTGTTACCATACCACTCTGTCTGTGCTGAATGAAGACAACATCAGTTATGGGTGTTCAAAGGAGAAAAAGATGACAATAGACTGAGATTCTCAAAGCAAGTGTCAAAGAAAAGCGAGCCTTCAACTTGGCCCTGAATTTGGTAGAGATTAGATTGTAGGAGACCAGTCCATGCAGAGGAGGCAGCTGAGCGAAGCTTCAGAGACATTGTTATGGAATGAATGTTTATGTCCCCGCAAAATTCTTATGTTGAAGTTCTAACCCCCAATGTAATAGTTTTTGGAGATAGGGCCTCTGCAGAAGTAATTAAGGTTAAATGAGGCCATAATGGTAGATCCCTGATCTGATAAGATTAGTGATCTTATAAGAAGAGGAAGAGAGACTGGAATTTTCTCCATACATATGCAACAAGCAAGAAGGCAGCTATCTGCAAGCCAGAAAAAGAGCCTTCACTAGAACCCAACCATGCTAGCACCCTGATCTTGGATTTCCAGACTCCAGAACTGTGAGAAAATAAATTTCTGTTGTTTAAGCCACCCAGTCTGTGGTATCTTCTTATAGTAGCCCAAGCTGCCTAATACAGACATCTTCAAGAGATAATGAATAGAACAGGCAGGACTACTCTGTCGGGTAAATGGGGATACCACCTTTGTGTCAGTGAAATATCTGAAGCTCAGAGATGTTAAATAATTTATCCAGGGTCACAGTTAATAAGCGGTGGAGCTGATATTTGAACCCAAGTCTGATTCTGAGGTCTGCGTTCCTTCTACTTTGCTAGTAACTAACTCTACCTAACACAGAAGGAAGTTGACAGCTTTCAGACTTCCCATGGCGTCTGTGATCTGAGAACCATTATTTATCTCTCTAAGGTGATGTACCCATTTGCTCAGTGACTTGCTTTCCACCTACTTAGTTCTTGCGGATTTCTAAGTTGAGTTTTCTGCATGTCCCTTATTTTGTAGTTGAATGTCTGGTGAGATACAAGGCCTCATAAACACAAAGTGGATACAGCTAGCTAGGGTAATAACTCTAATTCCTATGGCCGCTAATGGAATTTCTCATCACAAACTTCTGGAATCAGATTAAATAATTTTATTGGTGATATAAGCATAAAATATACACTTAGCAATCCCTGATATTTGCCCTTAGTGTTTGTTTTCAGAGGCTTTTATACTCAGTACTTCCTTTGACGAGTCAAGAGCACTTGGCTGCTTATTTTTCTTGCTCTTTCTTCCTCTCTTTTCTTTGCCTGGTTTGTTGTTGTTGTTATATTTTGTGTGTGTGTGTGTGTGTGTGTGTGTGTGTGTTTGTCCTGCTTCCTCTTTCTGCCTTCTTGTTTTTTGACATGTCACTTTGATCCAAAAAGGATTTTCATTGGCTTATTAGATAGTATGGAAAAAACTAAAATTGAAATAGCCATCAATTTTTTTAAAAAACAGAATAGAAGGAAATGGATATAGAATGGTAAAAGGAGACCAGAGGAAATTTAGTAAATTAATTGTGGTTAAATGACTCAAACGGACCACCTAGTTTGAGTTTTCTTTTTTTTTAATTATTATTATACTTTAAGTTTTAGGGTACATGTGCACAATATGCAGGTTAGTTACATATGTATACATGTGCCATGCTGGTGTGCTGCACCCATTAACTCGTCATTTAGCATTAGTTATATCTCCTAATGCTATCCCTCCCCCCTCCCCCCACCCCACAACAGTCCCCAGAGTATGATGTTCCCCTTCCTGTGTCCATGTGTTCTCATTGTTCAATTCCCATCTAGGAGTTTTCTTTACATCAATGAAAATGAATGGTGACAACTTTGGTTCCTTTCTCAAGTAGTTACCAGAATCCCCACACCCTCTCCCACCACTGGCCCTGTAGCCCTTTCTCTGGAGACAGGCCTCTGATTGTAGAGACACTTGCCCACTGTAATGCAGGATTGGATAGAAAGCCTGAAATCATATACATGGAATTTTCCTCATCTTTCTTGCCTGGGTCCATTTTGGATTGATTGACTTGCTTTTTATGGCTAGGGCAGGCAGTAACACAGAGAAGCTGCCTGAGTGGAGTTCTTGTTTTTATTAATATAAGGTATAAACAATGTGCCCTATGGAGGAGGTGTTCTGAAGCAGGCCTTCCTTGCCTGCTGCCCTGAACTGAGGTATTACTGAAGTATTACTGCTTTCTGAGTCACTTCAGTCTTTCCTCTCCCTTCAGACCCCAAGGCTGGACATGCAGGAACTTCAGTTTTCAGCTTCCGTCTTTCTCGTGAGGGTTTCTGCAGTGAGTTCTGTCTGGTTTCTCATTACCCAGAGCCCTGAGCTGGACAACAAACAGGAAACTCAAATGTCACTCTCATATCCTGGTCCTAACTGTGGAAACTGGAACTAGTCCTCAACCACCTTTGCTCTTCCCAGTGCCCCTCACCAGTCAATGGACACAGATCACCCTCTAAGTACGAGAGAGAGACAGCACTACCCAAGAGCTCCGCACACCCCAGCACACACACACATCCCCCAAACACTTTTCTGGCATGCATGTGCGTGCACAGGCACGCACACACACACACACACACATCCCCCAAACACTTTTCTGGCAGGCATGTGCGCACGCAGGCACACACACAAACACATCCCCCAAACACTTTCTGGTCAGAAATACCAAACCCAGTGCATCAGACTAACCAGAATTGAGACAGACTTCACTGAAAGTCCTGCCTTGCCTTCCCCACCCCATACTTGATAGATGTATTTGAAACCTTATGTAAGTCATGTTATCCCTTTGGATCTCCATTTCCTCAATACACAGTAGAGAAGATAAATCTTAACCCTACCTTCTTTGGATGGTACTTGTGAATTCAAACCAGGTGATACATGCGAAGGCACTTTGTAAATGAAAGCAGTCTATAAATGGGTTGCTCCTATCTCGTAACTCCTAACCACTTCTCATCAAGGGTGTTAGCCCTGGGCCAACAGATGGATAAAGGGGGAGGAGAGGGAAGGTGGATGTCTGTTCCTGGTTCAATCCTAGGTTATGTAATTCCAAGTAGGAAGTAGGAGATGGCATCTGAGAAGGCAGGAGAATAGAATGGAAACTTACGTTTACTAAGCACCTGCTAGATGCCAGATGTTAGATGCCGCCTTATATTTATCTCATTTAATCCTGACCACATCTACAGTAGGTACACATTAGTGACCCCCTTATTTAGACAAGGAAACCAAGGTTCCTGGAGTTTAATGTGACTAGCCTAAGGTCACACAGCAAGCAAGTGGCCAAGCCGGCTGCATACCCATGTCTGTCTGCCAGCTGGGACGAGAGACCTTCACAAGAGAGGGTTTCCCACATTCTTGCTGTTTCATCCTGAGTCATGAATGTGGCTGTACATTGTATTCCAGTAAACCTCAGGAATAGCTGCAGAAATAATGAACACCAATTTCAGTGGTTCTGGAAGATTGTAAATGAAAGCCTTTAGTTCAATAAGATGCTCCTCCATTTACAGTGGGATTATATCCTGATACACCGTCATAAATTGAAAATATCATAAGTTGAAAATGCATTTAATACTCTGATAAACCCATTGTAAAGTCAAGAAGTCATCATAAATCCAACCATTGTAAGTCGGGGACGGTCTGTAGTTGAATATGTCAGGATAATTTCTGAGATTTTTTTTAAAATTAGGCCACTTCTATAAGTGGTAACATGATAAAGTGGAAGGATCCACTAAGTTCTTGTTCTCGGGCTAGCTATGGGACTTTTGGTGGATCAAGCCATTCTGTGCCTCAGGTTGTTGTGCATAAAATGGAGATAATACTGACTTTTCGCACCTTTCTGTGTGTTGTGAGATCAGATGATTTGCTAATGTGCTGGTAAATTCAGGATATTACTGTGGTCACCTATAAGATAGGACATTGTAAGCAGGGGATTTATGAGGGTAAAACAAACCCTTAAACCCCCTGTGATAAGCTATCTTTCCTTCCTAGTCTGCCTTCCAGAAGTTTTGCTCAGTTATCTGCGTACATCTCAACAAAAGCTGATTAACTCTCTCAGACATCAGTGTCTAACTGTTATTAATGCTCAAGCTGATCAAATTACAATGCCACAGATCCTACTTGTGCTGTTAATATTAGATTTTGGATTCCGGTCTATAATGAATGATTTTTCCTCCATGCATTGGGAAAATTGGTTAGCAGAGTTCATAAGAAAGTTTAATTAGCAGGCTGTTTGTGAAAATAGCGGCTGTGAGTCATCATTCAGAATGAACTAACATTTCTCAGGCTTGAATTTGTTCTTTTGTTCCTTGAGCAGCCACATAGGATCCTTGTGTTTGGGAAGCTGGTGTCCACATGTTGCCCATTTGAATGGCACCATGTAATAAACTAATAACCAAAACATCAGATTTAAAAAACCAGAGAGGAAGAGGAGGTATAGGGTGTTTGTATATATAGATATGTGTATCTGTGTCTGCTAAGGGAATATTTTAGGCCTAAGCTAATCCAGCACGGTGCTAGACAGGATAGTCTAGTGATTAAGAGCTAGACTACCTATATCTACGTCTCTGCCTTATCATTTACTAGCTGTGTAACAGGCAAATTTTTAACTTCTCTGGGCCTCAGGTTTATCATTTATAAAATAGTGATACTGATAGGATTATTGTGAACATTAATTTATGTAAACTACCCAGAACAACACCTGGCATATAGTAATATAATTCTTACAGGAGTTCTGTGAGATGTAGGTATTATTAGCTCCATTTTATAGATGAGGAAACAGCTGTGTGATCTTGGATAAGAAAGTAACTTATCTAAGATCACACAGCTTCTAAGTGGCAAAGTCGAACCAATGTTTATTTGACTCCAAAGCCTCTGTTTGTATTTACTATACTGTACTAGCTTCCAGGGTCGTATGCCTAGTTCATTAAGTGTAGATACTCTGTTTGTGTGTGTGTGTGTCTGCATGTGTGTATGTGTGTACCTATGAGAGTTTGCTCCTGCTTGACTATCCATACAGCCACACACAATTGTTTTGCATTTTTTTCCTTGGGTCTTTGGTTCTCCTAGTGAAACTTCAGGAGCTCACTGCTGACTACTCACACAGTGAGCTAGAACCAGACTTGTACAACTTGTACCAACATGAAAATGTGTCTTCAGATGTCTGACTCCCCTCCCCACTATGCAATTCTGTCCTGTGTCTAGATTATCCCAGAAGCAAGACTCTGTGATGTCATCTGAGAAGCCAAATCATAGACTGTCACAGTGAAAAGAGACCTTAAAAGTACTCCATGGCAGCCAGGCCTGGTGGCTCACCCCTGTAATCCCAGCACTTTGGGAGTCCAAGGCGGGTGGATCACGAGGTCAGGAGTTTAAGACCAGCCTGGCCAAAATGGTGAAACTCCATCTCTACTAAAAATACAAAACAAGCTGTGCATGGTGGCAGGCGCCTGTAATCCCAGCTATTCGGGAGGCTGAGGCAGAGAATTGCTTGAACCCAGGAGGCAGAGGTTGCAGCAGTGAGCCGAGATTGTGCCACTGCACTCCAGCCTGGACGACAGAGCAAGACTCCTTCTCAAAAAAAAAAAAAAAAAAGAAAGAAATACTCTGTGGCTTGGTCTTATTTTCAACTGGCAGGATTGTTATTTCAGGAACTATAGTTCAGGTTTGGGGACCAGATCCCCCACCTTAAGTAAAAATCTTGAGACAGTATTCAGTCCTGTTTCAAAGGGTAATATTCATTTGAGAATTCCATCTAAAAATCTTTTCCAAAGGCGCTTAATTGATAATGTTTTTTAAAAGGGGTTCTGTGACCAAATGAGTTTGAAAAACTGAAGTGAACCAAGTTTAAAAGTGATTTATTGGTGGGGCATGGTGCCTCATGCCTATAATCCTGGCACTGTGGGAGACCGAGGCAGGCGGATCACTTGAGGTCAAGAGTTCGAGGCCAGCCTGGCCAACATGGTGAAACCCCATCTCTACTAAAAATACAAAAAATTAGCTGGGCTTTGTGGTGGGTGCCTGTAATACCAGCTACTTGGGGGACTGAGGCACGAGAATCACTTGAACCTGAGAGGCGGAGGTTGCAGTGAGCTGAGATCACACCACTGCACTCCAGCCTGGGTGATGGAGCGAGATTCCATCTCAAAATAAAAAAAAAAAATGGGGGGCTCTTTTTATCAGTACTTCTCTGAACCTGTGCTAACACGACGTGAAAAGGAATGGCATAATATGGAGCATTACCCAAGGAACCCTTTTCCCTCCAGCATTTTGTATACTCTCCTTTCTAAGCCAGTAGAGAAGAATGGAGTCCTTGGAGGATAAATTTGAGGGTGGGAGACAAGGAGGCAGTTTGCAACAGTTCCTACATGAAGACCTCATTTATTTCATTAAGAAAGAGGGGAGATCTTCTGCTGCCCCGGGGTGGGCAAGT